>NC_000006.12:44908484-45211515 GCF_000001405.40 Homo sapiens
CTGAATCTCAATTCTAAACAGAAAAGACATACTACGCATGAATTCATGGAACTTGCCTGGCTGCCAAAAATTTGCTATTTCACACTGGTACTATGGGGAAAGTATTTAAGAGAACTGCCAACTACGCAATCTAGCTTCGTAAATTAGACCCATTCCATGTGTAAAGGAAAGTCACCTTTACACCCCAGAAAGTCTTCACTGCAAGCCAACTTTGTGCCTAGCACTATGCAAAGAACTGTGGAAAGGTAGGTATATATAATTCCTGACATATCAGACATGTAGGCCACTAAAATATCTGAGTACAAACTAAAAAAAAAATATTGAAATATTTGGTTTATAGAAGTACTCACTGGTTCAGCCTTACTCTGAGCTAATATTGTCTCTAAAATTTTAATAAATAGGTAATAGTGGAAAATTGGTTTAGAAACTCTAAATTATAGCATAGGGAAATATTAAATAATAAGCTTTCATCTATCTCCTCAGCAACAACTACTTTTATGATTTTCATGTGTCCTTCCAGATAATTCTATGTATATACTAGCATATATATGTATACACATATAGCTATAAAAATATATCTTTAATTACCCCCTTAATATAAATAACACTATGTATCTTTCTGCTGCTCTATACCTAAGAGGTGTGTGTGTGTGTGTGCGTGTGTGTGTGTGTGTGTGTGTGTGTGTGGTTACTAACATATTTTGGGAATTTTTTCTATATCATATGCTAAACTTGCTATCCATATTTGGGTGTATTTCTGATCTTTCTAGGCTGCTCAATTTATCTATTTATGTATTAACATCAAATTGAATTACTGTAGCTTTGTAATGTTTTGATATTGGGCCTAGTTAATTAATAACTCCCTCCCTAATTATACTTTTCAAGAAATTTCCTGGCTCTTCTTATATATTTCATTTTCTATATGAAATTCTGGATCACCTATTTAGTCCTTTCCCCAACCTCTGATTTTGATTTTTAAAAATTGGGATCAGAAGTGCTACATCTTTAAGCTCACACTTATCCTATAAAATGCTCAGATTAAGTCTTAACCATGTAGCATACTAATATATAACAATTATCTTGAATTTTATAGTTATCTAGAATTTTCCTATGTACGAAGACTGTTCACTTTTATTATCTCCTTTAACCTTTTCAACCACTATGGCACCATGCAGGGGCCTGTTTTTTGACTCTCACATTACAGATGGAGAGAGGCGCATGGACTTGTCCTCAAGGCCTGTAGGTAAGGGCTCTGACACCTAGCTCAGGCCCAGGGCTCTTCCCATTATACCAAAGGCTGAGGGCATTACAAGTCTTCAGGAAACATTTTCAAAATAGGGAATGCTACCATTTTAGAAATGTTGGCAGGCTATCAAATTTTCAAACTTTAAATGAAGTTTAAAACACAATAATACTGGCATGAATACAGTGAAATGAGAACTCTCACGAATTGCTGGTGGGAGGGTAAAGTAGCATAGCGCTTTTGGAAAGTATTTGGACAATACATACCAAAAGTCTTAAAGTGTTTCAGAGGAAGAAGAAAATTGCTACTGGGATTTCTGGGCTGCAGTTCCCTCTGCTCATGAACCCACTTCCCTTGCTCCAGTTGGGCCTATTTCCCCACTGTCTTCTGAGTCCTGTAATCATGCTCAACTCTCTACCTGTCTGTAGAACCTCCCTTCCCCTATCTTCTCCTTCTCTCTTTTCCCCTACACCTTGGACCTTCAGGCTGGCAAGGTGTCACTGAAACCTGACCTTCCATGTTTCCCAACATTTCCCATTAGCTCCAGATCCTTACATGTCATGCCTTCATTCCCAGTCTCTTATCTTCTCCCAAGGTTTCTCTACTGCGTATCTTGCTGGTGGAGAAAATTGTTTACTATATTCCTTTCATTTTTATTTCAGAATTAATAACCATTGTTCTCATTTTCCAATTAAATGACAAAATTAAAACTTTTTCAAACAATGCACATCCCCTTACTTACTTCATGGGATTTAAGTAACTTTTCCAGAAATAACAACAAAATAAACCCCAAAATGATAAGACAGTCACTGAAATACTTTTCTCTGAATAATATGCCTTTATCTACCATGACCAGAAAATATTATCTAAAGAAATTAAGATTGTGAATCTTCTTCATAATTAGGCAAATATTTTCATTTCCTTTTTCTAATTTCTCTTTGATTTAGAAAATGTATTTTCTTTCAAATTAAAAAAAAAAAAGGGGGCCAGGCATGGTGGCTCACGCCTGTAACCCCAGCACTTTATGAGGCCGAGGAGGGTGGATCACTCGAGGTCAGGAGTTCAAGACCAGTCTGGCCAACATGGTGAAACCCCATCTTCACTAAAAAATACAAAAATTAGCCAGGTATGATGGCAGGTGCCTATACTCCCAGCCACTCGGGAGGCTTAGGCAGGAGAACCATTTGAACCTGGGAGGCAGAGGTTGCAATGAGCCGAGATCATGCCACCGCACTCCAGCCTGGGCAACAGAGTGAGACTCCATCTCAAAAAAAAAAAAAAAAAAAAAAAAAAGTAGCTTCTTTTATAAATGAAATAGTCTAACTTAGATATAATTGTTTTTGATGAGTTTTTTTTTAAAGCTATTGCTAACACTATTGGTAAGCTTTTGCTAACATTATTATCCATATCAAGTAACTATTGATAGCACAATTCAAAATTGATTTCATTTTCCTCCAAAAAGGCTTTGAGAATCTTCTGTTGTTCTCTTTTAGTGCATCTTCTTTTGTCTTAGAATTAATCACTTAAATTTTTTAGTCAGCATTCCCACCACATGTTTGACAGTGGTTGCAAGGTCAAATTTGGTATATATTTAATTAGGATGTTTTTTCCTTTGGGCAGATTCAGAAAATATCATAACTATCTTCCAAATTGTTCCAAAGAATGTCACTGTTATTGACACAACTCCTAGCAATACATTCAAAAGACGATGCATTACTTACGGCATAAAAAATACTTCTGGAATTTATGCCAAAATTCTGGCATGTATACCTTTTCTTTTGTCAGCTGTATTAGTACCATCATGATGGTCTTGCCCTTCAGATGATTTTAAATTTTTAAAATAAAGCTGCAATTTTTATTATAATTTTTTGAAAATTTAATGGACTCATTAAATATTTCTATTTTAAAGAAGGTATTCACAATTCTAATGTCTACTATCCATATAGTTGCCAATATAAGGAATGACTATTACAGTTCATGCACTTTACATCTAGGCCTAAATATGTACCAGTGTAAGGGTAATACGAATTGTTACTGTTTTTCAGCTAACATTTGCAACTGCTGTGGATACTGTGTTAATTTGTGAGCATATTTGGAACCTTGAATTAGAACATGGAGAGAGGCAAGAAAACTGATGCTTGGCACCACTAGGAAACAATGCTTCCTTATGCCAGAAACTATTGCATTCATACCCAGAGAAAGGCTTTGATGAGTTAATTTCCTTTCCCTCTTAAATAAAAGCTCTGCAGCTCAAATCTTCCCCTTGCTCTTACTTAAGCAGTGTCTGTCTACGAAGTCATGGCAGCACAATCCACAGAACTTCATGGAATTCAGCAGCAGTTTCCTTTGGAGGCAGGGGGTGATAAAATATATATAACAAAATTTGTCATTTTAACAATTTTTAAGTGTACAAGTCAGTGGCATTAATTACATTAATAATATTGTACAAGCATCATCATCTACTTTTTCATCATCCCGAACAGAAGTTCTGTGCCCATTAAGCAATAATTCCTCCTCTTCCCCCACTGCTGTAGCTTCTAATCTACTTTCTGCCTGTGTGAATTTGCTCATTCTAGATATTTCCAGTAAGTGGGATCATACAGTATTTGTCCTTTTGTGTCTGGCTTATTTCACTTAGCATAATATTTTCAAGGTTTATCCATGTTATAGCACGTATCAGAACCTCACTCCTTTTTATGGCTGAATAATATTTCATTGTATGTATATACTATGTTTTGCATCCCCATTCATCATCAGTTGCCTCTTATTCAGGGCACATTGTAAGAGATGTGGAGAAGTGGAACCTGAACAATGTTTGTGATAGGAGATACTCTCTACACTGTGGGACCTGGGGCAGGAGTCCTTCTGCCTGGTCTGAGAGCAGTAGTGCTGCCCCACAAGAATCACTGGCAGAGATTCTTGATTATTCCAGTTGTTGTTCCCTTTACCTCTGGATTCCTAAAGCACCTAGAACCAATGATGTGAAGTTTAACACTTATCTACAGAATGAGTTACTGTTGCCCTCCTTACAATTAAATGTAAAGTCTCTTTTTGTTCTCAGCTGTTGATAGTTGATACAGAAGGAAATGAACACTGGCTCTGAATGTGGCAGTTACTGTGCTAGGTGAGGAGGCACCATAGATGTTCAGTTTCTTCCCCTTCTCTCTTCTCCAGTGTCTAATATTGCACTGATAATACACTAGGAATTCAAAATTATTGTCGATTCATTGATTGGAAAATGCCTTCTTCCCAAGAAAATGTGTGAAATACTTGACTCTCATTCTTCTTTGTTCATCAGAAAAACTGATTTCCCTGGCCAGTAAGAAGAGGCAAACCAAAGCTTACCCCTCAGGAAAAAGAGGCTTCAGAGAATTGCATTTCCTGATTGTAGATGGGAGAGGGGATTTCTTCTCCCTTTCTTCCCAAGGCTCATCTCTATCTGCATAATGGAGTAGAATCATCATCCTTCCAGTTGACAGTCTACATTAGGACACATTTCTTTGCATTATTTTTTCTTTGCTACAATGCTGAGAATTCTTCTCTTTTTCCCAAGGAAAGCAGAGTCACAGCATGCCTGTGTTTATCATTGGCTTTTATTTGGCATAATTAAAACAAAAAAAGATGAATTCTCCTCCAGTCAGGAAACATGTGAAGCCCCATCTTCAACTTGCAGCTGTCTAGCTTTTTTATTTAGCCATATAGCACAAAATATTTTATGTTGGGAATTTCTTAACAGGATGAGAGAAGGGCTCCTCATTAAGAATGTAGACAACTACAGTCTGCATGGGAACCTGATGAATTTCATGGCTGCATGTGAATTTGTTATCCAAGAAGAGAACATAACTTCCAAATTTGAAAACAAGACGTCTAGACTCTTTTCTTAATTGATGACTACACATAAAAATGTATAATAAAAATGTGTCTGCAACTCTACAAAAGCATCCCACTAACAAAAGCACTTTTATCAGAAAAATTAGGTTGTGTCTATGAGAACACACATTCATCTAACAAATAGATGCGTCTTACTGTCCATATTATTCTGCTACTTGGGGTTCTTCAAATTTTGTTTTCCAAGTGGTTATTTTTGGTATCTAAAATTTTTCAGACAAAAGCTTCCTAAATGGATAGTGATGATTCAGTGCCACCCCTATCATATAGTTTCATGTGTAACTTGTGATTTTCATAACAAATGTTTATCAACTATCAACTTGAGTCCTCATTAAATATTTTCCATTTAATAGCTCATAAAATAGTCACATGAGTAAAATCTGCCTTCATCAAGTACCATTACAAAGAATAATATTCTATTATAATAATATTCTATCCAGAACCTAATAGTTAGGCATTGCTCCTTTGAATACATTTTTTTAAAAAATTGCTGTCAGGAACAAATAGGTAGACAGAATGGACTTCTGTGATAAAAGTAACCATGAAGATTAAATGTTTTATACATATTACCTAGTCACCTAAAAGCCACTTTTGCAAAATGATTAAAGAGTTTTATCAGTGAAGTTAAAAGATAATCCTCAGAGGCTTAAAATTGACAGCAAAGTTCTTTCTTGTTGGTTATGTGGAGCTTTGCTCCTCAGTGCTGAATGAGGTGCAGAGTGCAAAGGTCAATTAAACAGGCATTTATTAGCTCCAATTATAGTTCCAGCATGGTGCTAGGAGCTCAGCTTCATACTTTTCCCAGTATGGTTAGGGTAGTACATAACTACCCACTGAACATATTATTTCAAAACAGGTATTACTCATGAGGTAGCTTGGGCATTATTTTGCCTTGGATTCATGAGGAATCAATGATCAATCCTGGACAGTAATAATCAAACAATCTTATGATTTCTTTTGGCTGCCCTGCAGTTACCCATATGCAAATTAATCATAGGTAATGAAGTGTACATTTATATAAGGCACATTAAGTTTGAGGGGCCTAAAACTGATTAGGGAGATTAAAATTGGACTCTATCAGGTGGCTGTTGTCTCTTCAGACCATCGTTCTGTACACTTGTCCATCCATTCATCAATCTTTTATGTTGAGCTACAAATAAACAAAAGTATTGTCCTTTGCTGAGAGAGGAACCCAAGATGATTAAGACGCAGTCCTTTGGTCTACCTGAGGATACAGGTCCTCACCAGGTGTGGATCAGATCAGGAAATACGATGTATCTTGGAGCAAGTGGGTCAAAGCTTAGGACTAGATCCAAAAGGAGAAAACAGTTCAAACAAAGTCAAGGAAGTAAGAAAGAGATGAGATCTGGACTCTTACTACCATGCCCTGTATCACCAGGAATTCCCTGGGCACATATCTATCTAAATCTGAACATCCAATTCTTTCTCCTTACCTTACCTCTAAAGAAAGTATGAGTGCTAAGAAGCCATCTTGGGATAAAAGTAAAGAGAGTGGCAAAATTCTCCCAACTGAATGCATGAGAAATACTGCTACCAAAATTTGGAAGGGCCTCAGAGAGTTTGTTCATATAACATTACACATTTTTCTTTCCACTGGGGAGAAAGAAACACTTTCAACTTAGGTTTGAAGAAAAGTATGTAACTATCAGATGCTAAGATAACCTGGCGACCAAGATTTCACAATTAAATTCTTAGGAAATTTCTGGAAACTGTATACATTCTCATCTGTCTTGAATAATTTACGGTTCTGCTGAAATAGACTAAGAGAATAAACCAAAGATCATACTAGTTACCATAAACCAAAAGTAAAGTTCTAAGGCCCCCCAACCATCTGAATGGACTTTCTCCTTGGCCAGTGCATTCTAAAATTTAACCTGAAAGACTAGTTCATGCCATGATGGGAAGTGGGGGTTGGACATGCCACATTATACCCTCCAGCATTAACATCAACACAGACCTTAAGTCTGATAAGAAACATTTACACTCTATTCTCTCTGAAGTCTGCTACCTGGAGGCTTCATCTGCATGATAAAATTTTTGGTCTCCACAACCTCTTATTGTAACTCAGACATTCATTTCTATTGATAATAACTCAACCAATTGCCAATCAGAAAAATTTTAAATCTACCTATAACGTGGAAGCTCCTGACCCCTCCCCACTTCAAGGTGTCCCGCCTTTCTGGACCAGACCAATAAATGTACTTGATTGATGTCTCATGTCTCCCTAAAATGTAAAAAACCAAGCTGCACCCCAACCACCTTGGACATATGTTCTCAGGACCTCCCAAGGGCTGCATCATGGGCCGTGGTTACTCATATTTGGCTCAGAATAAATCTTTTCAAATATTTTACAGAGTTTGACTCTTTTCATCAACATTATCAACTTAAAGTGTTATTGCTGAACAATTTTGTTGAATTATAGATTTTCTCATCTAGATGTTTGAAACGTTAAATTTTCACAGGTGTACAAAGACATATTTTAAGAGATGACAATGACTCCACACTAGTAGAAGTTTAGGAATCAGTAAAAGCAGAAGTAGGAACTATTTCTGGGTAAGGATCCTTTCCTGATGCTCAAGCTGGAAACTTATCATTAAAGCCAATTCACAATACACTGCATCTTTCATTTTTTTCTTTCAATCTAAAGCTTCCAACTTCAGTAAGCTCTCATTCCTGGAAATGATTTTGGTAGTTACTTTTTGGAACCCACAATTTCTGTAGATCCTCATCTTTTTACCATACCCTTACTGCCTCTAAGCCTTATTCCCCATATGTGGTCAGTAATGCCATGGACACTGGGAAGTAAAATGGTACTCAGAATGGGTCTGTTTGCCCACACAAGGGCAAACATGCAGGGCAGGAAAGGAGTCCAGCATTTGTGGATCTCAAGATATTCTGAAAGGTTTTGGTAAAGAGAACATATTATTACTAACTGAAAATGGACATAGAAACATTAGGGAATTTTTTGAAGGCTATAAAGAAAGCCAATTATGGCTCTGGGTCTCTGTCTCACACTCAAATGTCAGGCTGGGCTTCCCTTTGTGATTCTCTGAAGGGTACTATTGGCAAACTAGCATTGTAATCTACATTTAAATTCTAATATGATAATAATGATTTTTAAATACTGCATTTCTTTAAGCATGTTCTATGTTAAGCACAGTGCTGGAAGCTTTGAAGTATTATTACTGACACTTATTAAAAGTTGCTAATTTGGGGGCTAGGCACAGAGGCTCATGTCTGTAATTTCCCAGTACTTTGGGAGGCTGAGGCAGCTGGATCGCTTGAGTTCAGGAGTTCAAGGCTGTGGGTAACATGGTGAGACCCTGTCTCTACAAAAAACAAACAAACAAACAAACAAACAAACAAAACTACTTGGGCATGACAGTATACGTCTGTAGTCCCAGCTATTTGGGAGGCTGAGGCGGGAGGATTGTTTGAGCCTGGGAGGTTGAGGCTGCAGTGAGCCAGGGCTGCACCACTGCATTCCAGCCTGGGTAACAGAGTGAGACCCTGTCTCAAAAAGAAAAAAAAAAATTGCTAATTTTAACAAATCACAAAACTGACTCAGGCAAGTTGTCTGACTCAAAAGCCCTTGAAAAACCATCAAAGACAGTAGAATGTTAACTGGTCATTTACGTAAAATAGTGTTCATTAAATTTTTGGTTCATTTAGGATAATCATTTTAAATGAGACTGTATTTGAGACTGTATACACATACATATACATGTTTACACACATATACGTACAATATATGTACATTCTATCTAAAAGATCATACATGTGTGTACATATATGTTTTTAAAAGTCAAACTGACATATTAATGGAAACAGTGCTTACATCTCTGGTAGTGATTTTCTATTAGCAGCAGCCCTACATATGCTGCGTCTCTGAACAGCATGTCAGTGCCATGACTGTCTAAACATGCAAATATGACTGACAGACTCTTGAGACAGCTTTCACCTTGGTAGAGCACAGGGAGCACCACATAAATTTTCAGGAGTATAAATGAAGCCTCATGAGTCTTTTAGAATAAATACCTCCAGGCTAGGTGGGACCACAGCCAAGCAGCCTAGAAGTTCTATCCTTGCTTACAATAGTTTGTGAACTACGATACTGAGAGCTGTGTAATCCAAGTATTTTAAATACTTCCACACCATTTCCAGTACAATCATGGAAATTTAAAAATACTCCTCTATCATCATATATTATATAGAAAAAAACCAGTTCTTTGCAAAGCTGGCTTAAGTGAGATATTTGAGTACTTAAAACCTACTTTAAAATTTCTATCGGTAATGCCATGCTCTATCAGCACAATATTGGCTTCCTCATTAGCAAATTCACTCTAAGTAAATTCATTGGGGGTAATCTAGTGATACAGCTGGTAACCTGTGACATTAAGTTAAATGACCAATGTATCTCTAGAAAATTAGTTCAAAATGATGCATCATTTTGCCAAAAGGTCTTAGGAATTAGCTAAGATCTCTCTTTAGAAATATGAATCCCCTTGAAACCACTCCCACAAATAGCCAACATTTTAAGTAACTGCTAAGCCACCTGGTTTTCTCCAAGAAACATCATGAAACTCACAAGTTAGTAAAGTTTTGGAAAGCCTACAAAATCCCTATTTTTCTGACAAAGTTTACATATTTTGTTTCAGTGACTTTATTTCCCCTTTTCTGAGAATTAAAAAGTCCCCACATCAGATTTATAGTTCAAGCTACAGACTTATTTGCAAAAGAAGGACTTGTAAGTAGATGCCAAAGAACACTTCTTCATCACTTTAGTCTGGACTTGGCACAGTGTTTCAGATGGTATTCATTTGGAATAAAGAGATCGATGATATACCTTGTCCAATCCTCCTTTATAAGTGACTTTACTAGAAGTGGGTAAGGGCATAAAAATATAAATTCATCTGACTGTAGGCAACCAAAAATATACCAACTCATCTTGGAGTAATTTAACCAATAAGATGATTTAGAGGACAGTTCAGTGGCACCATTTTTGGAAGGCAAAAGCTTAGCAGAAGGAACATAAATCAAAGGTGACTGGCAGGTAAAGGATATATGCTGCAATCAGCCAAACCATGTGCATACTGGCACAAATTCAATAAGATCATTTATAAAATTTTTAAGGCAGAAGTACACAAAAGGGGGTCTGGTGCTAACGAAATCCACAGATAGCTTACACGCCACTGAAATAAACACTTCCAGATGCGGGTGTACAAAAACCTTTCACAGAAAGAAATGTTTTCTTTCATAAATCTGAAGGAGGGACACTTAGCAGGGAAGGGCAAAAATGCCTGAAATTGAGCCTGAGCTTCTTACAGACTGGAAGTGCTTATTGAGGTGGAATGATTGTATGGGTGATGATGAACTACATAGCAAGTCTCCTTTAGAAGCATCACTACAATCAGTAAGGCTGGATTTCTGTTAAATTGTACAAAAAGTGCTAACTCATCATTTCATAAATCCTATAAAATCTGGTGTGTAAGTTAGTGCTGCTCTCATTACGTTCCTTACAGTTTCTTTTTCAGGGGGCGTGGAAGAGCAATGACAGAGACGATAGCTTCTCACAGAGATAAAAGCTGCTAATCAAAGTTTAGGAAAATAATGCCTTGGATCTTACCCAAAGCTATTGCAGGCATGGCTTTAATGAAGGAAAAAAAAAGTCAAAACCTGGTTAGATTAGGCGTCTTCTAAGAATGCATGACCAAATTCATTAACGGTTTAGAAAGTCAATTTGTTCATCAAAACAGCATAATATGTGGGACTTTCTGGTCGTATATACAAACCCTCCCAGAAGTTCAAACAGAAAGCTATAGTGTATTTTTTTTTTTTTAAAGTTTAGATGACTTCTGCTTTGAGCTACCCCCACCCTTAACCAGGATATCCCCCTGAAATTAGTTTCCCTGGTGAATCTTTAAATTTAATGCAAGTTCTTCATTAAGTATATGAGCATTGAATTTAGTCTCGAGAACATTTCTAATTGTCTGTTCTATGCATTCAGCCAAATTGTAAACTTGCTATTTTTTTATTCTTCTCTCACTCAGGGTCTTATTCTACTTATTCTATACGGCAAATATATCTTGAATACATTTTGTCTTCTCTGGTCTCACGCCATTGCCTCAGAAGATGCTCTTTTAGCCTCTCGCCTGCAATATTGCAGTGCCACCTAATTTGTTTCCTTGCCTATTATATCCCCTCACACCAGTCTCTTCTCAACACAATCACTTCTTTTTCTTTTTTCTTTTTTATTTTTTGAGACCCAGTCTTGCTCTGTTGCCCAGGGTGGAGTGCAGTGGCGTGATCTCAGCTCACCACGACCTCCGCCTCCCAGGTTCAGGCGATTCTCCTGCCTCAGCCTCCCGAGTAGCTGGGATTACAGGCGCATGCCACCACACCCGGCTAATTTTTTGTATTTTTAGTAAAGACAGGGTTTCACTGTGTTAGCCAGGATGGTCTCCATCTCCTGACCTCGTTATCCACCCACCTCGGCCTCCCAAAGTGCTGGGATTACAGGCATGAGTCACTGTGCCCAACCCACAATCACTTATATTTTTCTACAACACAGAGCTGTTCATATTAATACTTTGCTTAAAAAAATCTGAAATAGCTCCTTAATGACTATGTCTGTTGTTTAAAAGAAAATTTCCCACTGGGTGTGGTGGCTCACATCTGTAATCCCAGCACTTTGGGAGGCCAAGGCAGGAGGATTGCTTGAGGCCAGGAGTTAGAGACCAGTCCGGGCAAGAGAGTGAGACCCCATCTCTCCAAAAAGTTTTAAAAAATTAGCCAGGCATGGTGGTGCATAACTACTTGGGAGCCTGAGGTACGAGGATCACTTGAGCCTGGGAGATGGAGGCTGCAGTGAGCTATTACTGCACTACTGCATCACAGCCTGGGTGATAGAATGGGACCTTGTTTCTTTCAAAAAAAAAAAAAAAAAAGACAGAAAAGGAAAAAGAAATTTAAGAGACAAAAATTTGTATAACTAGAGAAAACACTATTATTTGTGGGAAATCCATAATGTATTTTGGCAGAACAGTTTGCTAACTGCTGCCCTAAATCATAAAGTCTGGGTAAACTGGCTCGCAATTAAAAGTCCTTCTCAAAATGGCATCACTTTATCTTTGATGCTTCATCTCATCTCAACGTACTCCAGATCCAGTTCCTCATCTTTGCCTGAACAGCCATGCTACTTTCATACATCTATTTTATTTTTCATTTTATTCCTGCTCCTCTGTGTGCTTGTATTGTCTTTTCAAAATCACTATTCATTCCCTTCCCCTCTGTTTTATAAAGTCAAATATTAAACACCCTAAAAGTTTTCCTTCACTTCCTCAGGCAGATTGTGCCATCCTTTCGCCGTATCTAAGGGACTGTCCCTCTTTTAGTTACAACATCAGTCACATGGCACTGCTTATTTATTCACCTCCTTTGCTATATTTGGATAACTGGTTTCTTATCTCCATACACCATACCTCCCTCCCAATATATTTCTAACACAATGTTTGGCACATGCTTATTGAATAAATGCAGGTATCAAAGCTATAAGGATCTCAGGACACATGTGGATGTTAATAATGGTCACATGTAGTTCAGTTGTACAGATACGGATTCTTGTCCATACTCAAAAATCAAGTGCTGTCCTTTGTATGCGAAGTGTGCTTTCATTCTATCAGGAAGGCATGTACTTTGGATTGTTTTTCTAGCAGTGGTGGGTGACAGATTGACTCATAGCAGTACACAGTCTTGCCCTGCCTCCTTAATTTTTTATTTTAACCATTTGCAAGCTGGTTGTGTGAACGATAGACATTGTTTGCCATCAAAAATTAAGGCAAAGTTAGGTCACCAACATGAAGATCAACCCCTAATACTTTCTTCTTTAGACAGTGGCTTCAGAGAAAAGCACAGTGTAGAAACCAAGCTAGCTCTCTTTTCTTTTTTCTCTTTCTCTTTTGAACACCAAAACCCTGCTTGGATGAGAAATATTTGTCAACTATAACTCATTTACTTATTAGGATCTTACCTAATTAGTCTTGAATACAGGTATGGGTTTTTGGGTTAGATCAGGAATATAGAGTGAAATCAGAGCCAGAAATGTAGTCTCTAACGTCTCTACTGGAAACTGTAAAATCTACACAAGTGTTTGAATTGGATTGACAGAAATCTGTAGGCCAGGCTGTGAACTTCTGCAGCCAGAAAGTCAACTCAAATACTCCCTCCCTGCTATTTCCACCAGAGAGGCACAGCAGCCCAACTGTCACCTTGAATGCGCCTGGGCAAACTCAGAGCCTGACACTGGGCTCTGTCCTCATGACCTCTGCCAACTAATCAGTCAAAATATTTCCTGATCTAGAGAGCATACTCCACCTATTGGGCATATGCCCAGAGCTGCGAGTGCACTCTAATCAGGTGGGAGAACCTATCCAGGTGCCAGGGCAAAAATTAACATCTGACTGACATATGGACTATGAATTTTCTCTTCTCGCATCCTAGAGTCATGCAGAGGCAGTATGTGGGGATGGGAGATTTGATCTGTGCATACATAGCCTAGGGGATTTGGTTTAAATCAAATCATAATTAAAACACTGGTTAGGAAAACAAGGCATAATTATTTTTTTCCCGCACATTTTAACTAACTTGCATATAGTCTTAAATATATGTTGGGCACAATAAGAGTAAGGTATCAGTTTCATTTTTGAAAGGTGCAAATTTCCTATTTAAAACAATCCACTTATTATGTTCTGGGATTAACTTTGCAGCTACATCAGTAAATTAAAGGACATTTCAATGATTACATTTGTTGACTAAAGTTATGTAACACTATTTAAGAAATCACCAAAAAGTAAATCACCTACAGTTCAACAGGCTCTCATCACAGGTATTTGGAGGGGATTTTTTTGTCACACTATCAATAAAACAGTATACAAATGCTTCACTTAAACAAAACACACTTATGAATGTTAGATGTTTCTGGCAATAGTAAATAAATAATCTATTTAAATAGAACTGATATGTTATTTTTCTAATATTCAACTAATTTGTATATAAAATACTTAAAAAATGAAAATAATATTTTTGCTAGGTCAACATGAGCAACTTAATGTACTGAAAGAGTCATCTATCTGAGTATTTATAATCTTCTTGTTTCTTCATAGACTTTAAAGAAGTTTCTTGCCATTTTTACAGCACAATTTTAAAATTTAGAAATAGCTCAACTTAGTTTAGTTTCTCCTGGCTAATCCTTGTGCTGCTTTCATGAATTCATGAGTTAAAAGAATCCTGTAATTTTTTTAAAGCCATATTTTCCTTTTCAGAGTCACTCCAAGGATTTTCTTCATTCGATTTCCATTCCTCCAGAAGACAGCAAAAACCCAGAAACTGTAACAACATTTAAACCTCAAGATTTAGTCCTTTTAGAATATTCCACTCAAAAGGTTTCTATTTGGTATAAATTACCCCTTTCCTTGCACTCATGATCAAATTCTTCCTCTATTCCTCAAGATACAGTATACCTGTTATAACAAAAATAGATTTCTTGAAGTACTACCAATTTAAAAAGACTTTGAAATATATAAACTTGGAGAAAATACAGAGGGATGATTAAGACTGTCATCTTTCATTGCTGCTTTATGTCCCCCATTAGAGAAAAGTGATTTGCTTTTCCAGACTATGTTCCTGAAAATTCTAGGATTCTTTGGAGTATTCTAGGGTCTCCATAGATGTTTGGTTTGAATGTCTATCACAATTTTTGTGCTACTCCAAATAAAGGTTATGTCATCCACTGTTTTATATTTGAACTTTTCATAATTGTTCTGTTGATTAGTAAGTTACGTCTTGGAATTTAGGTTTTGTTTTTGATATTTAAAGCAGCCCAAATATACTCTGAATAAAATTGTGCAAGTAAGTCTATCACCTCAGGATGTATGTCCTGTGCTGAACTAAATTTCAGGTGTTTACTAATAACACAAAGTGAAAGCAGGAAAGAGTAAAATGTGTTTGAACAGTCACTGTATACCACAGAGACAAACATTAGTTATTGGCAATACCAGGATTTTTCAAAACAGAACTGAATAATTTCTTATAAACAAATGTACTGGCTGCCCCAAGGTAAGATATTGCTGCAGAGAGTTTAAATGAGATAAGATCTCTCTTCCCTTCTCCCCACATCTGCCTGCTGATTAAAAAAAACAAAAAACAAAAAAACAATAAACAATTTTATAATAGAACTCCAGTTGGCAATGTAGACTCATGATGTTATGCTTACAATAGCGGAAAATGAAGTTCACCAAATATGGTTTCAATAGACGAAGCAAAATAAATTTAACTCTCAAACTTCAATAAATATTTGTCAGAGAAGGATCCTCAGATGACGGAGATTTTCTTTGTGACATCTTTAAGTAGCTTACAGTGTTTTAAGATTCATTTAAAAATATTTTCCAGAAAACCTTGAAGAATTATGCTGGATAAGAAATCCATATATTGATTCCCTCTAAACACTTTCCAGTTTAGAAATGGAAGCACGTGCCAGATATTGTTAGTGAAACAACTTTCAAACAAATAATTTTTACTATTTCTTTTGCACCAAGACTTTTGCAGGCCTGTATAGCACATTATTAAAAACGGCTGTATTTTGAATCAAACTCTTTTCAATGCTGTGCAATTAAAAATATACAAAAATAAAGTGGACATTAATGGATATAATATTCCAACTGTCATCCATAACTTTGACTTCAAAATACACCTATACTTACTGAGTGAAATTTTAAGAGTGGATCTTCCTTACACAAATACAGACTTAATACCTCTTGGAATACTTGTCTTCTACAGAATTTAGTTTAGGAAATGCTGTAGTTTTAGAATAAAACCACTGAAAGAGTTAAGAATACAGGTCAACCAATAAAGAAAAAGTTTAATGGGTAGGATTAGTAAGAATTTATTGAAGCCTATGGTACCAGTAAGCCATAGAGTATTTAGCTGCTGTACACAGAAAAGGCTCTGGTGATTAAAATTAAAAGTAATTAAATTAAATGTTTCATATCTTTCTGGGAAATACTCACTTTCAGGTTATTCTTATATGATAAATATGCTACATGTTAATTTTTTTCCTTAGGATCAGTGGCCTACAGTTTTAAACATATGTTTGGTTTCCAATCTGTAATAATAGATTTAGTACTCTCAAAAAATTTATTATGAAAATTTTCACTTCCAGTAAAAACACATATAATTTATTTCTACCCAATTTCTACTTGGTATTTACATTTGAAAATTATTCTAATATTTTGTGACATTTAATTTTCCAGGTTGAACACATAAGATGCAGACAAACCTAATGTGCTCATGACATAAATATTTGCAAATATGAAATTCTAGATCAAAATGATCAAAACAATCTGCCATGCCACTTTTGTTTTTAAAAGTTCAATGTGAAGAATTCTTTAAAAATTTTTCATATTTTCGATCCCTATTAGTCCATTATGAACATCCCTAAACTAATGATATGAAAACATCTCTAGTACCCTCTAATAAATTTACATCAAAGTAAATGGGCACAGTAATCTGAGAGTCAGGAGGCTGGATTCTAGGGTTAGTTCTGTCATGCACTTGCAAAGTGTCTTTGGGTACAGCACAAAGCTTCTCAGAGGTCCAGACTAACTGGCTAGCTCAAGTCCTCTCCAGTAAGGACTAGAGATTTGTTTCTACAGATGCACTTAAGGTATTATTCAGGTTAATGACCATGCTTAAATGAGCAATTTTATTGTCTCACTATTCTAGTTCAATAGAAAGTTACCTGATAACATGCAAGTTCAGAGGGTTAACATTTTTCTACTGTGAATATCAGGAGAAACTAAAATAGATTTAGGCATTACAGATGGGATTATGTCATCACACTCGGCAAACACAGTTTCCTTTCTCTGGCTTTCAAAATTACAGACCTGGGTTTATATCAGCAATTTACAGCACTTCCCATTGAGAGCTAGGCTTGAGTAGGTAACCATGGGTACCACCCACTGCTTGTAAATAGTGAAGATCTAGATAAAACATGTCTGACCACCTTCCCTGTGACATAAGAGAACACTAGACTACCCCTCAGAGTTATTTTCTCTGAGAGAAAACACCAAATGCTCTAATCATAACATTTTAAAATGCTCTTTACTTCTAACCCTGAACAAGTAAATTCTAAGAATGTTTTTGTTAAAATCATTACCATTACCATTCAAAAGCATTTGAATTTTTAGGTTGTGAAAAAAATATTCTTCAAACAAATGCCAATGAATTTTCTGATGGGACAATTCATTTAAACCTTTGTTACACCCATTTTTAGACCCTGAGGCCCTTCCTCAATATTGTATTCTTTATATATTCAGGTAGTACATACAAAACATTATCAATAATTTTGGAAAATAATACAGAATAGAAAACAGAAAGACCCGCGATACGCTTGTAGTAATTTAACAGATGATAAATAAAGTAATCCTAATAAATAGGAACTGGATAGATTACTCATTTAATTGATTGGCATATTTTGATATTTAGTTTTTATATTATAGAAACTCTCATTCCATATATTAGATAAAAATGTAGAATTATAGTTGAATAAAAAATAATTAAAAATACAGATGTGTATTTAATCTCAGGTTATACAATTTTTTAAATCTTAAGACAACGGAATATTATAGAGGAAAATACCAGTAGACCTAACTACATAAAATCCTATATATTGAAAACATATCGAATTAGAAAAAAATTAAGATAAATGGAGAACTGGGAAAAATACCTGCAACAAACCTGACAAAAAGTTTTACTGTTCATGACTGATAAATGTCTTAAAAATTTTTTTAATTACAAAAATTTATTCACATAAGTTAGTAGATTCATACAAATAAATCTAATGCCCTACAAAAAATGGCAAAGACATAATTCAATTCAAAGAAATACAAATTATTAGTAAATATATAAAAATGTTCAATATCATTAGTTATCAAATACAAATTAAAACAAAAATATCCTATCACTCACTAGCTGTATGTTAACTTGGGAAGGCTAGTAACAGTCTGTTAGTTTTCTCATCTATAAATTAACAATAGTTTCTATTTGTTAAGGTCGTCATGAGGCCTGTGTGAGTCAGTACAGTGCAGTGCATGATGCATGAGTGCTCAACAAATATTAGCTGCTATAGTTGCTACTTTATTTTTGCCTGGAAAATGACAAAAATAAAACTGATAATATTCAACGCTGATTTGAGTTTATACTCTCATATACCACTTATACAATTATGAAGTCATTCATGTTTTCTAAGAATTATTTTGGTAAGATTATCAGGAAATTTAAAAGGTCCAATCCTTTGATCCAGGAATTTCACTTCTAGTAATCTATCATAAGGAAACAACTAGATAGATGGATAAATATTTACATACAAGAATATCCACTATCACTATTTATAACCTAAATAAAGAACAAAATGGAATGGTTAAGTGAATAAAGGTACAGTTAGATGTATAATGTGTATTATGAAGCTATTACAAATCATGTTTTTAAGGACTACATAATATACTATAAAATGATAAGTAACAATATTAGAATAATCTCAATTTTGCTAAATTATTAATATGTATATACAAAGAAAAAGGGCAGGATGAAAAGGTAGTGATATATTAACAGTAGTTATCTCTAGGATGTAAGTTTTATTCTATTCTTTATTTTTCTATATTTTCGTAATTTTCTAACAGTAGCATTTCTTTCATAATGAGTAAACTGAAGAAACTTTAAAAGTTGAGAAAAATAAGCCCAGTAATTAAAAAATGTATCAACTTTGATATATTCATCAATTTCTGAAAACCTTTTCAATAACTTATGCAAATATGTAAAATCACAAACACTGAAATTGAAGAAACTTTATAAATTAGGTCACCCATTTGTTCTTTAGATTTCTGTTCCACAGAGCTAGTATGCAAAACCTAGCTGGTATGCAAAAAATCGGGTGGTAAGTATGTACACTCAGTTGCTAAGACTTATTTATGATGATCAGTGATTAAAAAAACAATTATATTCTTTAGCCGTTATTAATCCAAAGAGTAAAAATGAATATTTTCAGGAACAATAATTTTTACATGGTATTTAAATTTCAATGGTACAAACTATTAGTCCATAAACAAACCACATTATTATTGAAATTTTTAGTTTTTTTCCGGGCTTATAGAGTAAGGCCAGATAGGCTCGGTGTGTACATATGTGTGCACAGGCACACGCATTTGAGTGTGGTTGAGTGGAATGGTTTCCGCTTACTTTGTATTATTTATGTCTTTTAAAAAATATACCATAGCTACTACTACTTCCACTATTACTAATATAATTTATTAAGAGCTTAGTTCTTACAGTACTTCTTAAATCCTATTATGAAGTATAATCTAATATCCTCACTTTAGGGATGAGGAAACAGCCATAAAGCGGTGAAAAAACCTGTGTAAGGCTACTCAGCTTGTAGGTAGCAGGGCTGGGATCTGGACCCTAGCCATTTAGCTCCAGGATCGAAGTTCTTAATCACCACACAATATAACTTCACATATTATCAACTACTATGAATAAAAATGCAATATAAGATGGCAAGCATCAAAATCACTCAGGACATTCTAGGTTGCAAAAGCACTCTAGAATACTGCAGATCATAGAATCTGAAGTGATTTTTAGAACTAAGAAAAACAAACAAGAAGCAAAAAAGTAAAATTAGTTTCTCTAAAGGTTCTTTAGAGTGTGTATACAGAAAGTGAGGTACGGTGGGCACAGTTGCAAAAGTGTGTATTTCAGGAGAAAGTGTTTGAAGCTAGGGGTTGGAAGGCCTGAATCTTAGCTCTGGTTTAATTTAATTTAATCTAATGAATAGCTTGACTTAGGAAAATTACTTAAGAAGGTAAGATACCTTCTCTTATCTTCTGTGTAGGATTGAGAATAAATGAGAATACAGAAAAGAAACAAGGGCCGGGCGCGGTGGCTCACGCCTGTAATCCCAGCACTTTGGGAGGCCGAGGCGGGCGGATCACGAGGTCAGGAGATCGAGACCACGGTGAAACCCCGTCTCTACTAAAAATACAAAAAATTAGCTGGGCGCAGTGGCGGGCGCCTGTAGTCCCAGCTACTCGGGAGGCTGAGGCAGGAGAATGGCGTGAACCTGGGAGGCGGAGCTTGCAGTGAGCGGAGATCGCGCCACAGCACTCCCGCCTGGGCGACAGAACGAGACTCCGTCTCAAAAAAAAAAAAAAAAAAAAAAGAAAAGAAAAGAAACAAATCACCAATGAAAACCAATATGCCAAAGAGAGTACTGTTGTTAACCACTGAGTGGGGACGGATGGTGTGTGTCTCCACAGCACACATGAATGTGGTGTTCACAGGTGTGTGGCAGGTGACTGATGTTTATGCCATTCTCCCTGTGTACTTCCTACTCCAGGAGCTACTACAATTCAAAGCATTGTTTGTACTCTTCTCCTTCTTCCCCAGCTAACATGGCTTTAAGTATTCCTTTCTTCTATCACTTTAAATAATTCCTAAGGTGAAAAATTCACTTACAATTCTTTATATAATGAATTATATTCCTGAAATTGATCATGTCATTTGGTATAAAATTATTTCAGAAGTCATAAAGTAGACAGAAAGATGACTCGCTAAAAGCAGATTTTTAAATATAGTATCTGAATTATGTTTCCATGTAAACTATTAACAATATCAAATTATTGGTAAATGGATATATATATACACATTGTTATGGGTATTCTAAATTAGATGTTACATTTAAATATATACCAAAAACTCTAGATTTGGGATGACATGCTATGAAGACAAAATCTCTATGCTTCATAAATATAAACTAGTTGTTCATTGGCATTTTAATTTATGAAGTACATTTTACATTGGAGGCAAGTCAGTTCAGCCTTTCTGTATGAAAATATAGGTGTCAATCTATGATTACTATAAAAGCAGTCCACATACCTTTTCTCTTGTTAGGAGCTGCAGCTCAAAGCCAAGGTGGCAAAGTGTCCCCACTGCAGCTTAAAGTACCATGTCAGGTCCTCAGAGTGGACCTTAGGGAAGTGAACATCAGCATCCCCAATCATGGTAAGTTTCTACCATGAGCTCCCTTTTTTTTTTTTTTTTAGCAGCTTGAGGTATGTGGGAGCCAAGACAGGGTGGCCGCGTTATTGACACACACAGTCTACAAATCCATCCCATTTTAATGAGATAATTTTTAACTTTAAAAGGAAGATTTATGTATTATATACCCTGAAACCTGTGTCACCCTGGTCATGCAATTCATGATATAAAAAAGCATAGGTAGCCTGGGCGCTGTGGCTCATACCTGTAATCCCAGCACTTTGCGAGGCCGAGGTGGGTGGATCACCTGAGGTCAGGAGTTCAAGGCCAGCCTGGCCAACATGGCGAAGTTCTACTAAAAATTACAAAAATTAGGCTGGGCGAGGTGGCTCACGCCTGTAATCCCAGCACTTTGGGAGGCTGAGGCAGGCAGATCATGAGGTCAGGAGATCGAGACCATCCTGGCTAACATGGTGAAACCCCGTCTCTACTAAAAAACACACACAAAATTAGCCAGGCGTGATGGCGGGTGCCTGTAGTCCCAGCTACTCAGGAGGCTGAGATAGGAGAATGGCGTGAATCCGGGAGGCGGAGCTTGCAGTGAGCCGAGTTCGCGCCACTGCATTCCAGCCTGGGTGACAGAGTGAGACTCCGTCTCAAAAAAAAAAAGAAAAAAAAATTATTACAAAAATTAGTTGGGCATGGTGGCAGGTGCCTGTAATCACAGCTACTCAGGAGGCTGAGGTAGGGAGAACTGCTCGAACCTGGGAGGTAGAAGTTGCAGTGAGCTGAGATCGTACCAATGCACTCCAGCCTGGGCAAACAGAGTGAGACTCCGTCTCAAAAAAAAAAAAAAAAAAAAAAAGTGCAGGCATATTCACTCTTGTAGTGCGCAAATTCTCATAGCTGAAGAAAATGGAGGAGACCTTTCCAGGTGGTGGTCCCCTCCTGAGGAATAATAACACCTTGGGTGCCCCTCTGGGGTGGAGTTTGTTACCATTTGTTGTTGATTTTGTTTGATTGTTCTACTAGCGGCTAACTGAACCTTCCAGGTCATGGCTTGTTTTATTTTCTAGATGTATTTAAATTAAGCATTTTAAAATTGTGTCATCAGTTTTAAAAAGCCCATTCTTTATGTTTATTAGATCCAAATTAGCTTAGGCAATACCTGAAGCTAGCTTAAAGTGCATTTTTATCATATACTAATACTAACAGTCTTAGATTGTAAAAGTAGTAATACATAAGTACCAGGTTGGACATGGGGGAAAAGATATACACACACACATGTATGTAAATAGTGTCATCAACCACGATGGCTCTCAGGTGATCTGTCCAGTCTATTTTAAAAACAAAAACTTTGAAGAGAGAAGCAGCTACCGCTTCTTTTTGAGGAAATAATGCAGACTTCATGATTAGGGCATTTTCTCCTTGTATCAGATACATTTTCCTTTATGTAATCTTATTCATTACTTTTAGTTACCATTTTAGGTTATTTCTCAAAAATCATGTTTCCCTTTGCTATCTTTTAATTGCTTCTAGATTATTATCAAACACTGCCTCTTTTTTCTTCTTTTTCCCTTCCACTGTCTCAACCTATTCATCATTATTTGACTGTTTTCGATGGATTTGATATTTTTAATCTTTCATTATAAGTTTTTTTTCACTCTCAGTTGGTTTTTAAATTCTTACTTCCAATTATCTCTTATTTTTCTCATTCATAATTTTTCATGTTCATCTTCCTTCTGGCCTGTCATTTAAAACAGCTTCACCCATCATGTAAAAGAAACTTGATTTAATTATTTCTTTTCAATTATAAGACTTCAAAAACATTCATGCAAAAGGATATATTGCTTTAATCAGCAATATTAAAATCATGTTCTTATATAAGATAAACTTCAAATATTAAAAGTGCAAAGTTTCACCATTACAGAGAGCTTCTGGAGACATTTATAAAACATGTTCTTCCTGTTACACAGAGAATCTATCTACATAATTAACAACAACTAAAAAAAATAAAGGATGGAAAGAAAGCATTCTATTTAACTAAACATAAGGAAAAAAGATAATATAGACAAAATCATGACTTTTATGAATAGTAAAATCCACTCAGGTAAAAATGTATACTATGTAATACTATTTATTTTCTCATTTGTTTATGTATAATGTTATACATATACATTTTCATTAGCTTGTTAAAACAGAGTATCAAAAAAGTAAATTTGACTTTCCTCAGTTAGGTATATCAAACTTTACTTTCTGTTGAACTACTTCCTTATAAACAGAGTAGGACTTGAAGAAATTTCTCTTAACACAAATAAGATCTTTTTTTTAAAGGGCCATAAGATGAGCATTTAATTAAAACACACACACCTGCACACACTTTCTTTAGACTGTTGAAATATCAGGTCTTTAATTCCCCATTAAAACAACACAAAACCCTGATTATAAGTTTTCAAATCATTTGAAGATGTAAAAGGCTGTCTGCATTTCAGCTTAGTTCAAAGCCAGTAAAGAAATATCTCTTCTTCTTCCAACTAAAAGCATGTTTAGGAGAAGGATATCTGATAGAAGTGGTAATGCCAATCTAACCAATTTTAAAATATAAAGTGCTACTAGCAATATTTAGATACATATAATTTGAGAATAACGTTTTATAAACCTAAGCTTTGAAAAATAGAAACTATAAACCTCAACAAAAAAACTTAATTTGTAATTGAAAGAAAATAATATTTTGTAGAAAAAAAGTGTCCTTCCAAAAAGAGATGAAAATGACTTTCATTTCCCAAGAGAATTATGCCACTTTTATACAACAAAATTACAGTCACCACAAATTGCTTTCAACAATTCCATTGCTTCTTCATTTGACCACTTGAAAATCAAAATTCTTTCATATTATAAATATAACTTTTTATAACTCTGTTATTACGTACTGTGAATGGGGAAAGTGGGCCAATCCTGTGGCTGTAGCGTCGAATGGCCTCTCTGATGTGGCAGGGCTGGATGGCATCGCTGTGAGCCTCAACACCACAGGCTGCAGTGCTCTGCGACAGAAAAACACATAAATTGTTACTAAATCAAAAACACGCAACAGAACTACAGTGTATAAATATGAAAATAAACCTTTACAAAAGAGACCGGTTTTTCCCTTAGGATGCACATCACTACTGCCATATACTACATCTAAAAAAGAATTCCATTAACAAATCAAAGATGACTTTTACATGACCCCTTTCTAGCAGACCTACCAAACGCAATTTTTATGCCCACAATATTTCACCTAAGCCTGCATGTCAAGACACAGGAGAATACAGCCACTTGCCTGCAGATAAAAAGTGTCATGAAAGCTTACTGAAAGAACCACAGGAAGTTATTTTTTTAAAAAAAACATTTTAACATTTATTATTATAAACGTTTCTTAGGAGCTTCTTTGGCACATTTCTGAAATAACTTGAGGGTCATCAACTTAAAATGAAAAATGTTAAATTATGATACATTTATTTATCATACCTGGGATTGTCATAAGACCATTTCAACTTGGTTTCTAATTTTCTAGGTATCTCAGGACAAAACAAAAACGAAACCAACAACTTTCTGTTTTAATTTGCCGCATCTGTAAAAGGCAGGTTTGCAAGCACAAAAAGATACAAAAAAGATAAGGATTATTTGCGATGAGAGTGTGAATACAAACTTAAGAAATTATAGATGTGTATATGTGTGTTCAGCATGATTTTTCAAAATAACTTATAGGGCTAGGGTTTAGCCCTACAAGTTACCAGCTCTGCCAAGATACATAATATCTCGGGCCTCGGTTTCCTCACCTGTAAATTGGGAAAACAATTATAATTGCTTGTAGGACTGTTGTGAAAATTAAATAAGTTGAAATACATAAACCACTTAGAACAATGCCTGACACATGCTAGGAAATTGTTTTATTTTTATAAAGAGATGTTTCATTTTGTCACCTAGACTGCAGTGCAGTGGTGTGCTCACAGCTCACTGAAGCCTCAAACTTCTGGGCTCAAGCGATCCTCTGGCCTCAGCCTCTGAAGTAGCTGAGACTAAAGGCAAGTGCCACCACATATGGCTAAAAAAAAGGATTAATTTCTTTAGAGATATGGTCTCGCTATGATGCCCAGGATGGTCTTGAACTGCTGGGCTGAAGTGATCCTCCTGACTCAGCCTCCTGGGTAATGTTAGCTAGTAATAGTATTAGGTTATTTAAATTAAGTGTTAAAAATGGGATCGCTAAGTTTTTGAAATGGAAGCTCATTTACTTCAAAGTATAGTAGGTAGCAGATGGCAGGCCATCAACATTAAAGAATTAACTTGCATATTACTATAACGGGTCTAGAAGTCATTTGTAGTCACAGAATTAATATTATTTGTTTTTCTGATAATTACTGTATTTTTTTGATAATTAATACATTTTTTACTCATAATTCTTTGTAGGGAATATAACTCTATAGATAGCAACCTCTATGGATAGCAATTTGGCAAAATCTTATAAAAATGAAAAAGAACAACCTCTTTTACTCAGCAATTTCACCTGTAAGAATTTATCCTACAGATATATTGCACAGGTACAAAATAATATATATACATAAGGATACTTACTATAGTACTAAATGTTCATTAATGAGGGATTGGTTAAATAAATTATCCATTCAAAGAAACAGAAACCAAAGCAACCACTGAAAAGAATGAGGCAGTTCCCTACATACTCCTATGGAGCTATCTCTAAGATATTATATGAAACACTGATCAAAAACTGAAGTAGGAGGTTTACTATGGTAAGTCTTTGTGTTCCCCTAAAATTTGTACGTTGAAATCCAAGCCCACAAAGTGATGGTATTAGGATAAGAAGCCTCTGGGAATTGATTTATCCACGAGGGTGGAGCTCTCATGAATGGAATTAGTTCCCTTTTAAAGAGACCAGGGAAAGACCACTCACCCCTTCTGCCATGTGAGGTTTGGGTGAACAGATGACTGCCTATGAACCAGGAAGTGGGCCATCACAAAACACTGAATTTGCCAATGTCTTAATCTGGGACTTCCTAGCCTCCAGAACTATAAGAAATACATTCCTATTGTTTATAAGCCACCCAGTTTACAGGATTTTGTTATGGAAGCCCAAATGGACTAAGATAGAAGCTAAG
The DNA here is from genome assembly GCF_000001405.40 of Homo sapiens. Lineage (NCBI taxonomy): Eukaryota > Metazoa > Chordata > Mammalia > Primates > Hominidae > Homo > Homo sapiens. The sequence goes on from NC_000006.12 coordinate 44,934,879, forward strand.
TTAGAAAAATTTTGTGACTGCCATTTGTAAGATATGGAGACACATAAGCCAGCCTGGCTGAATCATGCTATTTTTGCCAAAATGTGACATTAAATTATATTAAAATAAAAACATTGAATTTTGTGAAAAATGTCATTAGAGTTTCCATTTTGCCAATTTCAGGTTTATCTGCCATAATTCAGCAACTGTTAACATTAGCATAATGAAGCTACTAGGCGCACTTTTATACTTTCTTGATTTGCTCATTGAGTTCTCCGGAAGGAAGCCTTTAAACGTTATAATCCCAGTTTTTTTTTTTTCCACCTCAACAAATATCTTCACATTCTCTTTGTCTGTCAACATCTAGTCCTTTATCAAGGTGCTAATAATCTGTTCAAATTAAAAATGTATCCAAAGTTTAGAATTTTTAATATAGCAGTGATTCTAGCATTATATTCTTCAAAATTGCTTCAGAAGAATTAACATAAAATGTACATATTTGTTATTAATAATCTTATATCAGCTATAAACACGTGTGAAGAGCATTATACTTATACATCAATTCATCTTTAGCATCCTGATTAGGCCTAAATTTTATGATATTCTTTAAATTTTCAAAAACTAAACCCAAATATTTGACAAAATACTGAGTCCTGTTTATAGAGTATTTGCAGAAATCTCTCTGGGATATAAACTCTGTATTTCTTTAAGAAAAGTACTAGCTGTTTGGAAAAGTTCTCCATATGTCAGGTCCTCTTCCTCTTGGCTGCATTCACACTCTATTCTTGTATCCTTCCATTTTTGTATTAATAGTTCTTCAACTAGAAACTGATGCTGGGTATTAGAAGCTGAAATAGCATATGGAGTTCTACATATTTTCCGGATTTGGCTGTTGTCTCTCTGCTTTTCTCTGCCGGTTTACAATGAACAAAATATCTTAGCAGTTTAAACTCTCAACTGTGATGCAGAAAGTTATACTGAAACTTAGGTTTGCCCCTGGATCTCTCACTGAACCTTTTTCTCCCAACTTAAAAAAGTTCTTGGCAGGGTTAGTGTCCTATCCTTTCTCAGCCTTCCCCTTACCAGAGTGAGTGTTTAAGAAGGATCTAGAATCTCAATCAACTGCATCTTATTCTTTCCACATCTATAATGGTAAACTAGATCTTCTGCTAAATGTAAAATCTTAAGTCTTACAGAGAAGTAACACTTACCTCAGACTAGAGCAACTGAAAGTCTAGTACTACTATTACTAACATTTTGCAGACCACAAAAGTTGATATGATCTGGCCAAGGAAGTATTGTCTTTCTCCTGTTACACACATAGCTCCTCCAAAGTTTCATCCTTATGGAGAATTTTTTTCACATGAAGGTGGGCCATTCATTGGCCAAAGGATATAGTGTACAACATATGTAATTTTCTCATTTAAAAGTTTGAGATGGTAACTGTTAAAATGTAGTTCTTATATAACTAGAAAAAGCTTTTATTTATTTTTTTCTTTGTATAAATGTATGCAGTACAAGTGTGATTATGTTACATGCATAGATTAGAGTGGTAAAGTTAGGGCTTTTAGGATATCCATTTCTTGAGTAACATAGTTACTCATTAAGTAATTTCTCATCATCTACCCCTACTTACTCCCAACCTTCCAAATCTCCATTGTCTATCATTCCACACTCTACCTCTATGTGTACACATTATTTAGCTCTCACTTATAAGTAAGAACATGCAATATTTGACTTTCTGTTTCTGAGCTGTTTCACATAAGATGATTGCCTCTAGTTCCATCCATGTTGTAAAAAATATTATTTCGTTCCTTATTTCTTTTTTGAGACAGCGTCTTGCTCTGTCCCCCGGGCTGGAGTACAGTGGTGCGATCTTGACTCAATGCAACCTCTGTTACCCAAGTTCAAGTGATTCTCATGCATAAGCCACCCAAATAGCTGGGACTACAGGCACACCTACCGCACCTGGCTTATTTTTGTATTGTTAGTAGAGACAGGGTTTTGCCACATTAGCCAGGCTGGTATCAAATTCCTGACCTCAAGTGATCCACCTGCCTCGGCCTCCCAATGTGCTGGAATTACAGGCATGAGCCACTGCACCTGACCCATTCTTTTCCATTTCTGAATATTATTCCATTGTGTATACATGCCACATTTTCTTTACCTATTCATCTGTTGATGGAAACTTAGGTTGACTGCATCTTTGCCAAAGTAAATAGAAGTGCAAATAAACATATGAGAGGAGGTATCTTTTTGATGTAATGATTTCTTTTCCTTTGACTAGATACCCAGTAATGAGATTGCTGGATTGAATGATAGTTCTATTTTCAGTTAAGAAATAGCTATACTGGCCAGGCGCAGTGGCTCATGCCTGTAATCCCAGCACTTTGGGAGGCCGAGGCAGGTGGATCACTAGAGGTCAAGAGTTTGAGACCAGCCTGGCCAACATGGTGAAACCCCGTCTCTACTAAAAATATAAAAAAATTAGCCAGGTGTGATGGCACTTGCCTGTAATCCCAGCTACTCGGGAGGCTGAGGCAAGGGAATCGCTTGAACCCGGGAGGTGGAGGTTGCAGTGAGCCCAGATCACGCCACTGCACTCCAGCCTGGGTACCAGAGTGAGACACTGTCTCAAAAAAAAAAACCGTACTGTTTTCAATAGAAGTTGTACTAATTTACATTCCCAACAACAGTGTACATGAGTTCCCTTTTCTCCATATCCTCACCAACATGTTATTTTCTCTTTTTAATAATAGCCATTCTGATTGGTGTAAAATGATATCTCATTGTGGTTTTAATTTGCATTTCTCTGATTAGTGATGTTGAGCATTTCTTTATATGCCTGTTGGCCATCGGTATGTCTTATTTTAAAAAATGCCTATTCATTTCCTTTGACTAGTTTTTAATGGGATTACTTGGTGTTTTTTTGTTGTTGTTGTTTAGCTGTTTGAGTTCCTTGTAAATTCTGGCTGTTAGTCCCCTGTCGGATGCACAATTTGCAAATGTTTTCTCCCATTCTGCAGGTTCTTTGCTCACTATCTTTTTTTTTTTTTTTTTTTTTTTTTTTGAGGCGGAGTCTCACTTTGTAGCCCAGGCTGGAGTGCAGTGGTGTAATCTCAGCTTACTGCAACCTCCGCCTCCTGGGTTCAGGCAATTCTCCTGCCTCAGCCTCCTGTCACTATCTTATTTCTTTTTCCATGCAGAAGCTTTTTAGTTTAATTAAGTCCCATTGTCTATTTTTTTTTTTTACCTGTGCTTTTGAGGTCTTAGTCATGAATTCTTCACCTAGACCAATGTCCAGAAGAGTTTTCCTCAGGTTTACTTTGAGTATCTTTTTATAGTTTCAGGTCTTATCTTTAAGTCTTTATTCCATCTTGAGTTGATTTTTGTATATGATAAGAGATAGGGGACCAGTTTCATTCTTCTGCATATGCTGATCCAATTCCCCAGCTCCTTTTTCTGAAGAGGGTGTCCTTTCCCCAGTGTATGCTCTTGTTAACTTAGGCAAAGTTTAGTTGGCTGTAAATACATGGTTTTATTTCTGGGTTACCTACTCTCTTCCATTGACCTATGTGTCTATTTTTATATCAGTACCATGCTGTTTTGTTACTATGGCCTCACAGTATAATCTGAAGTCAGGAAATGTAATGTCTTCAGCTTTGTTGTTTTTGCTTAAGATTGTTTTGCCTATTTGAGCACTTTTTTGGTTCCATATGAATTTTAGGATTTTTTTTTCTAATTCTGTAAAAGATGGGGTTGGTATTTTGATAGAGATTGCACTGGATCTGTACAATGCTTTGGGCAGTATAATCATTTTAATGATATTAATTCTTCTGATCCATAAGCATGGGATGGTTTTCCATTTGTCAGTATCCTCTACAATTACTTTCATCGCTGGTTTGTAGTTTTCTTTGTAGAGATCTTTCATTTCATTGGTTAAATATTACTAGATATTTTGTTATTTTCTTTGTAGTACTTTAAATGAGATTGCCTTCTTGATTTCTTTCTCAGCTAGATTATCGGTGAATAGAAACACTACTGATTTTTGTACAATGATTTTGTGTACTCAAACTTTGAATTCATTTATCAAATTTGAGAGGTTTTTGGTGGAATCTTTAGGTTTTTCTAGATATAAGATCATATAATCAGCAAACGGGAATAATTTTACTTCTTCTTTTCCAATTTGGATAACTTTTATTTCTTTCTCCTGCTTTATTGTTCTGGTTAGGACTTCCAGTACTATGTTGAATAGGAGTGGTTAAAGTGGGCATCATTGTCTTGTTACAGTTCTTTGAGGGAACGCTTTCAACTTTTTCCACTTCAGTATGATGTTGGCTGTGGGTTTGTAGTATATGGCCTTTACTACTGTGAGGTATATTCCTTTTAGGCCTAGTTTGTTAAGGGTTTTTATAATGCAGGGATGCTGAATTGTATCAAATGCTTTTTCTGTACCTATTTAGATAATCACGATTTTTGTCCTTCATTCTGTTTATGTAATGTATCCCATTTATTGATTTGTGTATGTTGCATCCTTGTATCCCTGGTATAAAACTCACTCAACCATGGTAATTATCTTTATGATATGCTAGTAGATTTGGTTTGTTAGTATTTTGTTGAGGATTTTGGAGTCTGTGTTCATCAGGGATATTGGTCTGTACTTTTCTGTTTTTGTTGTGTCCTTGCCTGGTTTGGTATCAGGATGGTAATGACCTCATAGAATTATTTATGGAGAATTCCCTACTCCTTAATTTTTTGGGGCAGGTTCAGGAGGACTGGTATTAATTCTTCTTTGTACACATTTGGCTGTGAATCCATCTGGTCCTGAATTCTTTTTTGTTGGGAGATTTTTAAATTACTGATTCAATCTTGGTACTTGTTATTGGTCTATTCAGGATTTCTATTTCTTCTGGGTTCAATATTGGGAGGTTGTATGTTTCCAGGAATTTATCCATTTCTTCCAGGTTTTCTACTTTGTGAGTGTATAGTTGCTCATAATAGTCTGTGACAATCTTTTGTATGTTTGTGGTATCAGTTGTAATATCTCTTGTTCAATTCTGGTTTTGTTTATTTGGATCCTCTCTCTTCCTAGTTAGTCTTGCTAGCAATTTACCAATTTTGTTTATCTTTTTGAAGAACCAACTTTTAATTTCCTTGATCTTTTGTATTTTTTTTTGTCTTTATTTTTATTTAGTGCTGCTCAGGTCTTTGTTATTTCTTCTGATAATTCTGGGTTTGGTATTTTCTTGCTTTTCTAATTCCTTGAGACAGAATGATAGGTCATCAATTTGGGATCTTTCTGCTTTTTTGATATATAGGCATTTAATGCTACAAACTTCCCTTTTGCAATGCTTTTGCTGTATACCACAGGTTTCAGTGCGTTGTGTTTCCATTTTCATTTGTTTCAAAAAATCTTTTAATGTGTCTTAATTTCTTCATTAATCCCATGATCATTCCAGAGGATATTGTTTAATTTCCATGTATTTTTATGCTTTCTGAAGCTCCTCTTGTTACTGGTTACAGATTTATTCCACTGTGGTCTGAGAAGATACTTGATTTTAAAAATCTCTTAAGACTTGTTTAGTGGCCTAACATGTGATATCTATCTTGGCAAATGTTCCATGTGCTCATAAGAAGAATGCATATTCTGCAGTTGTTGGGTAGAATGTTCTGTAAATGATTGTTGAAGTCCTTTTGGTCTAAAGTCCAATTTAAGTCCAATATGTCTTTGTTGACTTCTGTCTCAACCATTTGACTAATGCTGTCAACAGGGTGTTGAAGTTGTCCATTATTACTGTATTGCTGTCTATCTCTTTAGGTCTAGTAATAAGTCTAGTAATATTTGTTTAGGTCTAGTAATATTTGTTTCATGAATCTGAGCCTTCCGGTGTTGGGTGCATATATACTTAGAATTGTTTTAGCCTCTTGCTGAACTGATTCCTTTATTATTATGTAGTGACTTTCTTTGTCTTTTTTCCTGTTTTTGATACAAAGTCTGTGTTATCTAAGTATCACTACTGCTGTTCACTTTTGCTTTATATCTGCATGAAATGTCTTTTTCCTCCCTTTCACTTTCAGTCCATATATGTCTTTATAGGTAAAGTGAGTTTCTTGTAAGCAACATATAGTTAAATCATGTTTTGTTTTTTCCATCCATTCTGCCAATCTGTATTTTTTAAGTGGAGCATTTAATCCATTTATGTCATGGTTAATATTGATAAGTGAGGTTTTGCTCCTGTGATATTGTTAATTATTTTCTAGTTGTTTGATAAATTCTTTGTTTCTTTTTCTCTTTGTGGTTTGGTGGAATTCTGCCAAATTGCCATTTGATTCATTTCTCTTCCTTCTTTGTGTGATATTTTATAAGACCTGAGAATTTTATACTTTTGTGTCTTTGTATGATGGCGAATATTAACCTTTTGTTTCCATGTTTAGGACTCCTTTGAGCATTTTGTGTAAGGTCAGACTAGTGTGATGAAGTCCCTCAGTGTTTGCTTACCTGGGAAAAGCTATTTCTCCTTCATTTATGAAGCTTAATCTTACTGTATACAAAATTTTTGGCTGACAGTTTTTTTCTTCTTTCAGTACTTCGAAAATGCCATCCCATTATTTCCTAGCCTGCCTGTAAGGTTTTGCTGAGAAGTCTGCTGTTAGTCTGATGGGGTTTTCTTATAGGTGACTGAAAAAGGTTTTCTTTAATTAAAACCAGAAAGGTGTTTAAGGAAAAAATAATAGAGGTTCACTAAATTCAAGGATTCATACATTATTATCTCTGGATGGGACATAAGAATGGTCTATTCTAAATGTTTCCAACTCCTACACAATTTTATAGATGAAAGAGTGAAAATACGGGACATGTCCAAGGCTACAACAATAGTATTACAGATATAACTATACATCAAATTTCTTGGCTTGTAATACACGTAGTGAGTGTAGAGATTTTATTATTATATGCAGGATTACTTGAACCATTATAGCATCATAGCTGAGGTTTCCAGTGAGTAAAACTCAAAATATAGCAAAAGTCTGAATATAGAAAGAAGTGTATAAATGAGTAGAAAAATAATTAAAGCCTCTGAAGTGGAACAATATTAATTCTGATGCCACTAAGTTCAAATTCAAGAGAATACAGACATAGACTGGGATAATACTTTCCTCAGGAAAACTTTGTTGTAAAATAACTCCAATTTAATAGTTTTCAACAGGATCGGGAAGAAATGTTTAAATATACGGAGAAAAATGTAAAGAATTTCTAAAAACATAAAAAATTAATTTATGTATACATATCACTAGGTTAATTACAACTCCTTCTCACATACTTTGTGAATCAAATTAACTGAAGAGGTCTTTTAGGTAAGATTTTGTTACCATAGTTTTAGCTACTGAATGAGTTGCAGAGTACAATAGCTGAAATTCTTACAAACTTTGAATAGGTAATAAAAAAAAAAACCAAGTATATGAAAGCACTGTAGACTGATCAAAACCAGACTGAAACTGGAAACGGTAGTATGTACTTTTAGAAGGGAATGTCAGTGGGTGGATTTCCTGTCTTTACAGTTTTAGCCTAAGGGCAGCATCCAGTGGGTAGAGGAGTGGCTAACATATAATCTTAGATCCTTGATAAACGAGATGCCAGAGTTCGCGCAATCACAGTAGGTGCGGAATGAGAAAGGAAATCCCCAAAGGGACAGAATAGAAAAAGGGGGAGCCCCAAATTCGGTGTACAAATTTTACCCAAATATTTTTTTGTGGGTGGGGAGAGATGGGGTCTCACTATGTCCGGGCTAGTCTGAAACTCCTAGGCTAAAGTGATCTTCCTATCTCAGCCTCCTGAGTAGCTGAAATAACAAGTGCCGTCACGTATGGCTTTCCGCAAATCTTTTACTAACCCCTAAGTTCTTCCTGTATGGTATGAAATGCATGCAATCTCACTAAAGCAAAAAGAAATGAAAAGACATTCTAGTTGCTGCCACTGAAGAGGAGTTCAAAGTTTATAGGTGAGTCTAGAAAAGTAACTTCCCTGCTGAACACATATACCAATGCCACTACCACCACCACCAATAAAAACAATATATTCACAGGAATAAAACAGAATCCTAAAATGCCTATGATGTATTACTCACAATGTCCACTTTACAATTCAAAATTACCAGACATGCAAAACACAAGAAAGCATGACTTATATTCAATGGAGACCAAGAAAATTCACATATTTAATTTTGCAATCAAGAATTTTAAAACAGCAATTCTAACCATGCTCCAAAGCACAAAATAAAATACATTTGTAACAAACGGACAAATAAAAAATAATGATAGATAAATGGAAACTATAAAAAATCAAATAGAAATTTTAGAAGTATAAAATGAAATATCAGAAATAAAATATTACTAGATGGGTGTCACAATAGATTGGAGTTGACAGAAAGAAATGTATAGAAGATAAAAGTTCAATAGAATTGCTCCAATCTGAAGAACAGAGAGAAAATATTAAAAGAGGAATTAAAAAGCACCTAAGTTACCTATGGAATAATATCAAAGTAACTAATACAATGTACTTGGAGTTTCAGAAGTGAAGGAGAGGGAATAAGGCAGAAAAAAATCTGAAGAAATAACTGCCAAAAAGTCCCCTAATTTGGTTAAAGACATACACTGTCTTTGATTCAAGAGATTCAAGATTCAAGAATTTTGGTGAATTTTCGGCAGGATAAATACAAAGAAAACCATGTCTATGGATATCATGGCCAAACAGCTGAACATCAAAAGTAAAAATACAATTCTGAAAGCATCCAGAGAAAACAACACATTAGACACAGGGAAACGATAATAGAAACCTACTGACTTATGATTAAAAACAATAGAGAAAAAAGTGGAATGACATCATTAAAATACTGAAAAATAAAACTTTCGAGACAGAATTCTGTATCTAATGAAACATCATCCAACAATGAAGAAAAAGTAAAGACTTTTTCAGAAATATCAAAACTAAGATAACCATCACTAGCTAACTTGCACTACAACAAATGTTAAACAAAATTTAGCAGAACAGAAAAGAAAAATGATACAAGAAAACTCTAATTATGAAAGAGAAATAAAGAACAATGGGAATGGTAAACAATAAGCTCTTTTTTTTAGTTGCTTCTCAGCCTTTTGGCTAAGATCAAGTGAAGCTCTATTTTTTTCTCTTAGTTTCATTAAAACGCACTAGATTATTTAAGACAAAAATTATGGTATTATGGCTTATAATATATATAGATGTAGTATGCATGACAATTATAGCATAAAGGACCTGGACCTATATATATACAAGAGTCTTACATTTTATGTGAGTTAAACAGTGTAATAACTCCCAAGTATACTGAACATTTAAGGATGTACATTGTAATTCTTACCATGACTACTGAAAAAAGGATGCAAAAAGATATCATAAAGAAATCAATATATAAATTAAAGGGAATTTCTAAAAAACACACAACCCAAAAGAAGACAGGAAAGAGAAACAGATAAACAGTAAGAGAGGAAATAAGCAGAAAAGAAATAGGAAAAGTTACCCTATATCTGACCACGTGACTTAATACATCAAATATCACAGAATTATGGACTACAATTAAAAGATACAGATCGGGGGAGGGCACAGCAGCTCATGCCTATAAAAGCACTTTGGGAGGCTGAGGTGGGTGGACCGCTTGAGCCCAGGAGTTTGAGAATAGCTTGGGCAACACAGTGAAACCCTGTCTCTACAAAAAAAAATACAATAATTAGCTAGGCGTAGTGGTGCATGCCTGTAGTCCCAGCTACTCAGGAAGCTGAGGTGGGAGGATTGCTTGAGCCTGGGAGATTCAGGCTGCAGTGAGCTATGATCATGCTACTGTACTCCAGCCTGGGAGACAAAGCAAGACCCTCTCTCCAAAAAAAAAAAAAAAAAAAAAAAGAAAAGAAAAAAAGATACAGACAGACAGAAAGGAGGAATAAAGAAGCAAGACCCAATTATTTGCTGACTATAAGAGATGACTTTAAATATATTATATTTATCTTTCAATACAGGCATACCTCACTTTATTGCACTTTGATTTATTGTGCTTCACAGATGTTGTAAGTTTTGCAAATTTAAGGTTTATGGTAACCCTAAATCAAGCAAGTCTTATCAGTGCCATTTTTCCAAAAGCATATACGTGTCCAACTTTATGTCTCTGTGTCATATTTTGGTACTTTTCACAGTATATTTCAAATATTTTCATTATTATTTTATCTGTTATGGTGATCTGTGATCTTTAGTGTTACTATTGTAATTGTCTTGGGGCGCCACGAACTGTATTCATATGAGATAGCAAATTTAATAAAAGTGTTTGTTCCGACTACTCCACTGACTAGCTGTTCCTCCATCTTTCTTCTCTCAGGCCTCCCTATTCCCTGAGACACAACAATACTGAAATTAGGCCAATTAATAACCCTACAATGGCCCCTAAGTATTTCAGATGTAAGGAAGAGTTGCATGTCTCTCACTTTAAATCAAAGCCTACAAATGATTAAGCTTAGTGAAGGAGGCATGTTGACAGCCAAGACAGGATGAAAGCTAGCCCTCTTGCCCCAAATAGCCAAGCTGTGAGTGCCAAGGCAAAGTTCTTGAAGAAAATTAAAAAATGCTGGTCCACTGAACACACAAATGATAAGAAGGTGAAACAGCCTTATTGCTGATATGGAGAATGTTTCAGTAGGATGAATAGAAGATCAAACTAGCCATGACATTTCCTTAAGTCAAAGCCTAATCCAGAGCAAGGTGCTAACTCTCTTTAATTCTGTGAAGGCCAAGAGAGATGAGAAACATGCAAAAGAAAAGTTAGAGGCTACCAGAGACTGGTTCATAAGATTTAGGAAAGAAGCCATCTCTATAATATAAAAGTGCAAGGTGAAGCAGCGAATGATGATGTAGAAGCTGTAGCAAGTTGTCCTGAAGGTTAAGCTAAGATCAATGATGAAGATGGCTACATGTAACAACAGATTTTCATTGTAGATGAAATGGCTATTAGAAGAAGATGCCATCTTGGCCATTCATAGCTAGAAGAGGAGAAATCAATGCCTGGCTTCAAAGCTTCAAAGCTGACTCTCTTGTCAGGGGCTCATGCAGCTGGTGATTTTAAGTTTTAGCTAGTGTTCATGTACCATTCTAAAAATCAGGATCCTGAAAAATTATGTTAAATCTATTCTGCTTATGCTCTATAAGTGGAACAACAAAGCCTAGATGACAGCATATCCATTTACAGCATGGCTTACTGAATATTTTAATTCCAGTGTTGAGACCTACTATTCAGGAAAAAAAGATTCCTTTCAAAATAATTACTGCTCATTGACAATGTATCTGGTCACCCAAGAGCTCTGCTGGAGAAGTACAAAAAGATGAACACTGTCTTCACAATAGCTAACAAAATCCATTCTGCAGCACAGTTCAAGAAATAATTTCAACTTTCAAGTTTTATTACTTAAGAAATATATTTCATAAGACTATTGCTGCCATAGATAGTGATTCCTCTGATGGATCCAAGGAAAGTAAATGAAAATCTTCTGGAAAGGATTCATTATTCTACATGCCATTAAGAACATCTGTGATTCACGTGAAGAGGTCAAAATATCAACATTTACAGGAGTTTGGAAGAAGCTGATTCCAGCTATCACGAATGGCTTTGAGCGGTCCAGACTTCAGTGGAGGAGGTAACTGCAGATGTGGTATAAATGGCAGGAGAACTAAAAGTGCAGCCTGAAGATATGACTGAACTGCTCAATCTCATGATAAAACTTGAATGGGTGAGAGTTGTTGCTTATGGATGAGTCAAGAAAGTGGTTTCTTGAGAAGATGTCTATATCTGTTGAAGATGCTGTGAACATTTTTAAAAATAACTACAAAAACTCCTACAAAGGACTTAGACTTAGTTCCATAAACTTAGCTGATAAAGCAATGTCAGGGTTTGAGAGAACTGACTCCAATTATGAAAGAAGTACTGCTATGGGTAAATGCTATCAAACAATATCACGTGCTACAGAGAAATCTTTCAAGAAAGGAAGAGTCAATCAATGTGGCAAACTTCACACTGTTGTCCTATCTTAAGATATTGCCACAGCTACCCCAACCTTCGGCAACCACCACCCTGATCAATCAGTAGCCATTAACATCGAGGCAAAACCTTCCACCAGCAAAAAGATTATGACATGCAAATGACTCAGATAATAATTAGCATTTAAAAAATAAAGTATTTTAAAATTAAGGTATGTACATGTTTTAGACATAATGCCATTGCAGACTTATAGACTACAGTATAGCGTAAACATAATTTTTATATGCACCAGGAAAGCAGAAAATTTGTGTGACTCGCTTTATTGCAATATTCACTTCAATATGGTGGTGTGGAAACAAACCTGCAATATCTCTGAAGTATGCCTGCAGAAACATACAAATATATTGAAAGGAAGTGGATGGAAAAACATATTATGTAAACAGCAATCACATGGCTGGAATGGCTAAATCAATCACATAAACAGACTTCATATGTACAGCATTTTCAGTAATAAAAAGAGATATTTCATAAATATAAAAAAGAGAGAAAATCCATGTTCATGGATTGTGAGACTTAGTATTGCTAAAACATATCCCAAACTGATGTAAGCAGTCAGCCTAATTCCTTTCAAAATCCCACCAGGCTTTTCTTTTTTTTCTTTTTCTTTCTTTGGCAGTAACTAACAAGTTGATTCTAAAATTTACATAGAAATGCGAAGAACACAGCATGTCCATATTAAGCTTAAAAAATAACAGAGTTTGAAGACTTACATTATAATCAAATAAACACAAATGAAACTCCAAAAATAAATCCATTTAGATATATTGTTCAAGCAATCCAATGGGAGAAAAGAGTCTTTCAGCAAATAGTTCTGCAATAACTAGATATCCATAAGTAAAAATTGGATTTGGCTTCAACTCATACAATAAATGGATTTTAATTTGACCAGATTAATAGAACTAAATACAAAAACCAAAGAGATAAAGCTTCTAGAAGAAAACACAGGACAATATCATCATGACATGGGAGTAGCCAAAGGTTTCTTAGGACACAGGCAATAAATATAAAAGAAAAAAATTGTGTAAGGAAGGGATCCAGTTTCAGCTTTCTACATATGGCTAGCCAGTTTTCCCAGCACCATTTATTAAATAGGGAATCCTTTACCCATTTCTTGTTTTTGCCAGATTTGTCAAAGATCAGATGGTTGTGGATGTGTGGTATTATTTCTGAGGGCTCTGTTCTGTTCCATTGGTGTATATCTCTGTTTTGGTACCAGTACCATTCTGTTTTGGTTACTGAAACTAGATCCCTTCCTTACACCTTATACAAAAATTAATTCAAGATGGATTAAAGACTTAAATATTAGACCTAAAACCATAAAAACCCTAGAAGAAAACCTAGGCAATACCATTCAGGACATAGGCATGGGCAAGGACTTCATGACTGAAACACCAAAAGCAATGGCAACAGAAGCCAAAATTGACAAATGGGATCTAATTAAACTAAAGAGCTTCTGCACAGCAAAAGAATCTACCATCAGAGTGAACAGGCAACCTACAGAATGGGAGAAAATTTTTACAATCTACCCATCTGACAAAGGGCTAATATCCAGAATCTACAAAGAACTTAAACAAATTTACAAGAAAAAATCAAACAACCCAATCAAAAAGTGGGCGAAGGATATGAACAGACACTTCTCAAAAGAAGACATTTATGCAGCCAAAAAACACATGGAAAAATGCTCATCATCACTGGCCATCAGAGAAATGCAAATCAAAACCACAATGAGATACCATCTCACACCACTTAGAATGGCAATCATTAAAAAGTCAGGAAACAACAGGTGCTGGAGAGGATGTGGAGAAATAGGAACACTTTTACACTGCTGGTGGGACTGTAAACTAGTTCAACCATTGTGGAAGACAGTGTGGTGATTCCTCAAGAATCTAGAACTAGAAATACCATTTGACCCAGCCATCCCATTACTGGCTATATACCCAAAGGATTATAAATTATGTTGCTATAAAGACACATGCACACATATGTTTATTGTGGCACTATTCTCAATACCTAAGACTTGGAACCAACCCAAATGTCCAACAATGATAGACTGGATTAAGAAAATGTGGCACATATACACCATGGAATACTATGCAGCCATAAAAAAGGATGAGTTCATGTCCTTTGTAGAGACATGTATGAAGCTGGAAACATCATTCTGAGCAAACTAACGCAAGGACAGAAAACCAAACACCGCATGTTCTCACTCATAGGTGGGATTTGAACAATGAGAACACTGGGAGACAGGGTGGGGAACATCACACACCAGGGCCCGTTGTGGGGTGGGGGGAATGGGGAGGGATAGCATTACGAGACATACCTAGTGTAAATGACGAGTTAATGGGTGTAGCACACCAACATGGCACATGTATACATATGTAACAAACCTGCAGGTTGTGCACATGTACCCTAGAACTTAAAGTATAATTAACAAAAAATTAAAAAAATAAATAAATGCAAGCGGAATATTGTCAAAAAAAAGAAAAAAAAGAAAAAAATTGGATAAATTAGGCTTCATCAGAAACTTAAAATTTCTCAGCTAACAAACTGAGAGAAAAATATGTGAAAAATATGTGTTTGATACAGGACTGTTGTCACAAGATATGTAAAGAACTACAAACTGGTAATAAAAGTCAGCCCCTTTGCCTGCAAAAAAAAAAAAAATGGGCAAAGGATTTGAAGAGACACTTCTCAGAGTAAGATACATAAATGGCCAATCAATACATTAAAAAGTGCTCAACCTTATCAGTCATCAGAGAAATACACACTTAAACTGTTATCAGAAAATATCCACTAGAATGGCTAAAAGTAAAAATGACAATGCCAAATGTTGATGAAGCTGTGGAGCAACTGGAACTCTAATACACTGTTGGTGGAAGTATAAAATGGTACAACCTGTTTGGAAAAAAAGTCTGTTTCTTTAAAAACCAAACACATGCCTAACTCTATGACCCAACAATTTCATTCACTGCCATCTACCTAAGAAAAACAAAAGCATTTGTCCTTCCAGACTTGTACAGTAATATTCATAGCAGGTTTATTCATAATACCTCAGAAACTGGTGACAGTCCAGATACTCACCAACATGAGAATGCATAAACTGATATGTTCAAGGAAGTCTGTTCTTTCTTTATGGAGAAGTACTTTTAAATAGTTGAAGACTTATCTTTCATAGCCTCTTCTCTTTAATGGTCAAACACCTCAAGTTCATCCCAGCAGTTACTACAAGAAATGTTTTTCAGTTTCTTCAGACACCTGCCCCCTTTCCCATTACTCTCCTTTAGACATGCTCCACTGTGTCAATGTCCATTCTATAGGATGATGCCCAATACTAAAAAAATTCCTTATCAGTCACATCACAGTATTGGCTCCTAAGAAATTCACAGGCAAATAAAAATCTCAAAATCATTTTAATGTATGGTATTATTAATCTACATTTTCCTCATCATCAATCATACCAACTGCACTACTGGCCCACAATTCTTCATAATGTATTTTAAAAAATAGCCGAGCATAGTGGTGTGCCTGTAGTCCCAGCTACATGGAAGGATGAGGCAGAGAGATGGCTTGAGTCCAGGAGATCAAGGCTGTAGTGCACTATGATCATGCCTGTGAATAGCCACTGCACTCCAGCCTGGGCAACATAGAAAATCTAGAAAGTTAACTTGAATTAATATTAAACTTGCTAATCTAGTAAGAACCCAAGCTTAACCAGCCCAGTTCCTTATATGGTTAGTGCTCAAGAATGATACCCCTTAAAATAAAATGCACTGTGTATTAACCCACATCTTGAGTTTCCAATTCTAATCCACTGTACATGGCACTACCATTTGGATCTTTTTTTTTTTTTCCTCTTGTTTTATTTTTTATTATTATTATTTTTTATTTATTTTTTATTTTTTATTATACTTTAAGTTTTAGGGTACATGTGCACATTGTGCAGGTTAGTTATACCATTTGGATCTTAAAACACCCTTTTGAACTCCTCACCCTTCAGCCAAGAAACCATCAACAATTCATTCCTTCCTAACTCTAGCAGTCTAAGACTCTATATAATCTGAGCCTTAATTTTCTAATCCAAATGCCTACTATTCCTCTTTAATGAACCTTAATCCTTGAATATTTTAAACAGCGTTGGGTTTTTCTCCTTCTAAAATGGTACTTATGCTGTCTTTGAGTCCTAGAGTATTATCCTAACTTCTACCTTATCATAGTCCTATTTTTCTTTTAACCTTAGCTTTCTCTCTAAAGTCTTTGACTGCAACTAGAGAAGGTTTTTTTTTTTTTTTTTAAACTTCTGTATTTTCTGTCTGAGTCACTCATTTGGAAACCAGTATATGCCATCTTAAACTGTTTGTTCAATTATTTGCTTATTTGTTTTACAAAATATCCTGTCTCCCTGAACAGAGATCACATCAGTCTCCAGAGTCCCACTTTGGACTCAATTTGGTATAGTATTTGATGTACAGGCCCTTGATGTTAGCTGCTGATTTTGTCAAGTGATAAAGGGCAGGAAGGAAGACTTCCAGTCTCTGAATATTCATCTTGACTACCAGTCACAGGAGGGGAGGGGTGTCTGCCAGCCAGAAAAAAGTTTGAGGCTTATACTAACATATTTTGTCAGGAGGCTCTCTGACACTCATGCTCCCACCTCCCAGAGAGCCCAGGAAATCCAGCACATATAGGATATTCCTCTCAACTGCTGGGTAGCTGGGAACAGCGGCTGCGGTTGCTGAGCAGTTGCCTAGGGCAGCTTGGCCACCCTGGAGAACCAAGAAAAGAGGGGAAATAAAGAGTTTTCCTAGGCATGCAAGCAATCACTTGAATGTTAAAAGAAAACTAGGCCCGTTGTGTTCACAGTAAATTTTCTCAATTAGAAATGTTATAACAAATTTGTCTGATGTTAATGGAAAGCATACTTATACACATATTCATAAAGTGAACAAACATCAAAGACATTTTAAAGGGGGTTTTTTGACATCATAATTTGGGTTTGTAACATAAAGAAAACAAATAGTGATTAATCAACTAAGTAAGCTTTAGGGACTTTTGTATGTTGACTGATAATGATGTATGACCTTTTCTAAGAAAAAAATGGATTTTTAATGGGCATAAACATTTTAATCCCTATTTGGTTTCCAAGCCAATTTGATTTTCCAAGGGGCATAAGAAAATGTTGAATTGTCCTTTTGTTTGTAATAAGATGCTATATGGGCATATATGTTAACATATTTTCTATGTATCCTAGAGCAGAGAAATTTAAACCTAGGGTCCATAGGGTTCACAGATCCCTTGGATCCATAGAATGGCTTCAGAATGTCTCTGAACAATCTGAAACTGTAGGCAAAATTTGTGAATGTGTTTATAGAAAAAGGGTTTATAGTTTTCATCAGATTCTCAAAGGGGTGTGTGACCTAAAGAAGATTACAACTACTTCTTAGAAATGATTTGAACCACTATCCTTGCCTATAGATATTTAACAAGGAGTAGAAATGTGTAATCAAGGTATGGCTATAAAACAGAGCTTAGCCATTTTCAGGTTATATATTTCAACCAACTTGATCCAAAACGTACTTCACAACTCTACATGTAGATGCGAACTTAACCTTCTTGCTGTCTTATCTATGGATATTCGATTGAATTACGTGAAACTGCTGTTTTTGTTAGTGAAAAGGGTCGAATATTGGCAAATACATTCAAGACACTGCAATACATTTCTGGTTTTGAGGTAGATGCTGTTTACAGAGGAGATTCTGTATACTAAAAGTGGTGCACAGTTATTATACAGAGCCTTAAAATTGGAAAGAAAACTTTACGGTTCCCATAGCAAAGCCAGATCAGAAAAGAATATAATTTTCACATAGTAGGGGCAATCTAAAAACTCAAGATGAATGAAGACAAGCTTCTTTAAATCATTTTTAGAGATGAATCAATAACTGAAATGGAAAGTTATCAATAAATGCCAGGGATTATTTTGTGAATAATAATGATAACCCTCTTATCTTTTGAAGCACAAAGAAATAAATGACTTTTCCAACATTACCTAAACCAGTTTTTCATCTCCCATAAAAATAAGAAATGCCTTGCAACTATCCCTTTCAATGAAGGGGTAGGAAAGCTAAGTGAAGCAAGAAAAACGTGAAAAAAGTCATTGTCTTAAGTGGACTGTCAGGGCCTGGCACACAGTAGGTGCTCAATTAAATACTTATTTGAATGTCTAATGTATTAAGATTCTTTGACTGAAGGTTATACACTCCTGCATAATCTTTATTAAAGAATCACTAATGTAAATACCAGATATGTGTCAAAATTCACAAATGTTTTAAGACAGATTTTTTTTGTACTTACCTCAGCAGAGTTGTGATACTGAATGAAGGTTGCAGAAATGGCATGGCTGAAGGGGTCCCCTGCCTTGGTTACCATGTCTTGCCTCACAAGAAGAGCCAGATCCACTAACTAGAAGACCAGAAGAATGAAAGTCACATAGCTAGAAATAATCATGAATGCCACTGAAGTGGCAAACCTAAAAGCAATACATTCTGAATGTTACTGATAATCCTGCTTGCCTAAAAATCTATATTGTAGACATGAGCACACACTTTCATTGACTGGTGAATGGACCTAGTCATGATATATTCTGACTTTTTAGGAGAGTAGTTCTCAAAATTTATTTCACAGTCACTAGTGCAAATTTCTGGGCTTTAAGTCCAGAGATTCTAATTCAGTAGGTCTGTTTTAAGCATATAGTCTAGGAATTTGCTTATTTTATTTTATTTTATTAATTTTTGAAATGGAGTTTCGCTCTTGTTGCCCAGGCTGGAGTGCAATGGTGCGACCTCAGCTCACTGCAACCTCGGCCTCCTAGGTTCAAATGATTCTCCTGCCTCAGCCTTCCTGAGTAGCTGGGACTACAGGTGCCCGCCACCATGCCCGGCTAACTTTTTTTTGGTATTATTAGTAGAGATGTGGTTTCACCATATTGGCCAAGCTGGTCTTGAACTCCTGACTGCAGGTGATCCACCCACCTCGGCCTCCCAAAGTGTTGGGATTACAGGCAAGAGCCACCGCGCCTGGCCAGAATTTGCATTTTAAACAAGAACCAAGGAGATGCTGATGCCTGTGGTCTAAAGACCACATCTTGAGAAAGTCTTTTAGAGGGCGAGATTCCAGACCCAGAATTTGGTAAGTACTCCTAAATTCTCACATACGTAGAAAGGTGTTTTTCAAAGCTCAAAAATAATCTCTAAACAAGGCAGATGTGGATTTGAGTTCAATGTCAAGAAAAAGCATGCAGGGATTCCATTTCTCATTAAGATAAAGGTACAAGAACTCTTTTTTATCCTAGCATCCACTTGAATTGAGGATGCAGAGACACATAACTGAACTAAATTTTAGAAAATGATGTAAATGCCACAGGAGAGAATTCATGGCTGTTATTACTGGTAGAGCAGCAGGGAGAAGAAGAATTGATCATGGGCAGAGATAAAGAAAAACCAGCCAGTGTGGCCCGATATGACAGATTAGAATTCTTACCTGTGCCACAGTTTCATACGCTAAATATGCTAAGATTTCCATTGCGACAACATTGGGTTTTATCTCCATACTGCTGCAGTCCAACCAGTCTCGAAATTTGGAAGCTTTTTTGGCTGGCCATTTAAAAAAAACAAGTGCAGAAATTTTAATTTTTAAAGTGTTTTAATACTGCACATTACTATCACAAAATTAAAAAAGTATACTCAGAATTGTACACAAAAAATAATGCACATAAAATGCATAATTAATGTCTAGATATTCTGGCCCCAAGAAATCCAAGTTTTAACTCTCAGTTATAAGGCAACACAATGGTTGTTTTCAACAACTCTCTTACGTATTTGGGTCTTTTATTTTACACCTATGCTATATGACATAGTATATTAAAGCATTTAATGTTTAATACTTCTCACACTGTCAGATTTACCATTGGCTACCGC
Source organism: Homo sapiens (assembly GCF_000001405.40). Taxonomy (NCBI): domain Eukaryota; kingdom Metazoa; phylum Chordata; class Mammalia; order Primates; family Hominidae; genus Homo; species Homo sapiens. The sequence continues at coordinate 44,954,932 of NC_000006.12, forward strand.
TCATGTTACAACAAGAAGTCAGAAGATGTTCTTGTCTGATGTAACCTTAATTTACTCATATAGAAAGAAAATCTTGCAAGAAAGAACCTGTGATGAAAAAAGAAACATACAGAAACTATTGCTAATATTTTTCAAAAATATTCTCTAGTCTCAGAAGAAAATGGCACATAGCAGGCAGGATTAACTTGCAGCTCCCACTTGGATGGGTAGAGCAGCACGTGGAGACCCACACTGTGAACTTTTGCTCCAAGAACTACCGTAGGAATATACCAGGAAAGCCAAGAGCCACAGACCCCTTGAAGGAGGTGGATCACCACTGCAGGCTCTGTGGGACGCAGAGGAACTGTGAGTAGGCTTGCTTTCTCAGCTAGGAAGCCGGTAGCCTGGGGAAAGTTCTCAGCCCTGCTCACCAGCTGCCTGGAAATAAAGTTGGTGCTGTTACGGGCAGAGGGCATGGTGGAGTGAGACCGGCCTTTCGGGCTGTGGGCTGCATGGGAGCTGGGTGAGGCCTGCGGCTGCTGGCTTTCCCCCACTTCCCTGGCGACCTGCGTGGGGCAACAGAGGCAGCCATAATGCCCCTGGCAACGGTAACTCCCTTGTTCTAGAAGCCACACCCTCATCCCCCACAACAGCCACAGCAAGCCCCGCCCAAGAAGAGTCTGAGCTCAGACATGCCTAACCCTGCCTCCAGCTCATGGCAACCCAAATATCCTATACTCTCACTTATAACTGAGAGCTAAACTATGAGGACGCAAAGGCATAAGAATGATACAGTGGAATTTGGGGACTCAGGGGAAAGGGTAGGAGGGGGGTGAGGGATAAAAGACTGCACATTGGGTACAATATACACACTGCTCGGGTGATGGGTGCACCAAAACCTCAGAAATTGCTACTAAAGATTCATGTAGGCTGGGCGCGGTGGCTCACGCCTGTAATCCCAGCACTTTGGGAGGCCGACGCGGGCCGATCACGAGGTCAGGAGATCGAGACCATCCTGGCTAATATGGTGAAACCCCGTCTCTACTAAAAATACAAAAAAAATTAGCCAGGCATGGTAGCGGGTGCCTGTAGTCCCAGCTACTTGGGAGGCTGAGGCAGGAGAATGGTGTGAACCTGGGAGGTGGAGCTTACAGTGAGCCGAGATGGAGCCACTGCACTCCAGCCTGGGCGAGTGCGAGACTCCGTCTCAAAAAAAAAAAAGATTCATGTAACTAAACACCACCGGTTCCCCAAAAAACCTACTAAATAAATACGTTTAAAAAAAGTGTCTAGGTCGGGCGCGGTGGCTCACGCCTGTAATCCCAGCACTTCGGAAGGCCAAGGTGGGCAGATCACGAGGTCAAGAGATGGAGACCATCCTGGCCAACATGGTGAAACCCCATCTCTACTAAAAATACAAAAAATTAGCTGGGCGTGGTGGTGCGTGCCTGTAGTCCCAGCTACTCGTGAGGCTGAGGCAGGAGAATTGATTGAAACCGGAAGGTGGAGGTTGCAGTGAGCCGAGATGGCGCCACTGCACAACAAGAGCGAAACTGTCTCAAAAAAAAAAAAATAAAAAAAAAAAATAAAAATAAAAAAAAAAAAGTGTCTATTACCAGAATGGCTCAAAGTTGTAAATTTAAAGTTAAATAAACTGACATCTGGTCTAATCTAAGCCTGTGGTTACATTTTTTCCGGTTATGAAGATGTCTAAATTCTTAAGCCTGACTCAAAACCATCCAGACTGATTCCAAGCAGCCTTTAAGATATTTCCCTATTAAACCATCACCTGGCCTTGAGTCTTTTCCTCTGTGTGTCTACTCCTACTCCTTTCCTTCCATGGAATGCTCTGCCATCACTCTTCTTCATTCATATGAATCTTGATCATACAGGCCAAAGGTATACTTCCCTACTCTAGCCATTTATTGAACACTGATACCATCAGATATTCTTTCACAAATGCTTATAATTTCTTAAGCCATATTACAAATTTTTGTGGGAGAAGACCATGCCTTATGTCTCTGCATGTGTAATAGTACCAAGCATATACAGAACCAAGCGCGTATGTAACCTTTAGTTAAATATCTCTACACTGCCACAGTGCTAAGCAGTCTAATTTGATATAGGGACTTCATTAGACATTATTCATTTAACTAGTAACCTAGAGGGAAAGATTGATAGTGAAGATTTTATGAAATCTGTAAGATTTTCTTTATAATCCACTGATTATTCTTTTGATTAATCTGGCCCCACGGGTCTATAAAACACTTAATAGTAACTCAAAGCATGATATTTTGATCCTTCTATATAGAATCTTCAGGATTCCACATACAGAAGAGTTCTCTTTTAAATAAATCATGGAAAACATTAAGTCCTGCTATCGAAGCATATACCCAAAGCTGTCAAATATGGCAGAATTATGATAATCCCCCTTAAAGCTATCTCCCCAACGTAACAAATCTTCCAAATACTTTCTGACATGCAACATTCCATCTAACTAGTATGCTGCGATAGCTCACAAACACTTGTTTAACATCTGTGGAATACTTCTAAAGTTAAAGTTAACAGGCAGCAATTTGGCAAGATCAATGAGATGTACATTAATCACTTATCTCCTTGACAGATCTTTAGGACAGAAACAGATATTTTGTGACTGTGCTCTAAACAGTTGATTTTAAAAGTGAGGGAAAGGATCATTATTAATATTCAGTTGGATCTATCCACATAACAGAATTAGCTTCCTTGCTAGATTGTAACCACCGAGAATGCAGGGACAAGGACCATATATCTCCAACTGTATCCCTAGCACCTAGAATACTGCCTGGCATTAGCAGACTCACAAGAAATATTTCCAGAAGAAATGAATAAATGAATGAAGTATTTTTTAAATAAAAGAGTAGAGTCCAAACTTTTCTATTCATCAAAAGACATGCATAGAAGTCCAAAAACCACTTGGGTTATTGCTGTTCCACCAAGTGGTGGAGATTCTTTGAGAGCTAATTCCTTCCCTGTCATGTGGAGAAGGATGGCTTTAGAGCCTCACCCTTCCAAGGTATTGTTGGTTCCAGCAAAAGAGGCACAGATACCTGTAGTTAAGACAGTTTGTTTTCATCAAGAGGTGAGAGGGGCCTCAGAATAAACAAGTTCCTTCTCCTTCGCCCCTCTTCCCAACGTATCAGGAGAAACGATAACCTGGAAATTGACTAACAAACAGAATCCTGAGCAATGGTCAAAAGTTCCTAGGATTATTAGCATTGTAATACTACCTGGATTTTCAGCCTGCGCTGAACTTAAAAAGCAATTTTACATGATAATTTCATATGGAAATTTAAGGTTAATCTCACATACTTTTTATCTTTCTTATCAATGATCACTAACAAAATTTAAGTTTCTTGCAATATTCCATTCTCTCATGCCTGCATACTATTCAGTGATTTCTATCCCATCCCTTCCCAACAGTCTTTCCATTCCCAGTCCTTTCCTTAGGGTCCTCTGGAATGCTCATTCCACTCAGAAGAAACTACTTTGCAACTTCAACCTAATTGAAAATAGCCTTCTTCAGAGGGCATGGTTTTCCCTGGAAACTTCCCTAGCAGGAGTTCCTTATTCCTTTCCTTTATACATATTTATGGGCAACTACTTGGGCCAGTGTGTTCATTTCCCCATATAAGGGGGGACCTGGCGTCAATGTCTTCATTCTCTTAGTTTCTTCCACAGGAAACATACATAATAAGTAGACTGACAGCAAACTTCTACCAACAACAGGGGCCAAAAGACAAGGGAATCATGTCTTAACAAGTTAACTATCAGCTTACCATTTCCTACCCAACTAAACAATCATTTAAGTATGGGGGCAAAATAAAGACATTTAAGAAAAAAAAATGGGTGTTTTTAAGCTTGTACAGAGCTGTAGGAAAAAATGACATTAGGCCAAGAAGGAAAGTTTAAGTACTTATCAATGGTTTTTTTTTTTTTTTTTTTTTGAGACGAGTCTCACCCTGTCCCCCAGGCTGATAGTGCAATGGCGCGATCTCGGCTCACTGCAACCTCCACCTCCCGGGTTCTAGTGACTCTCCTGCCTTGGCCTCCCAAGTAGCTGGGATTACAGGCATGCACCACCACGCCTGGCTTGTTTGTTTGTTTGTTTGTTTGTATTTTTAGTAGAGACAGGGTTTCACCATGTTGGTCAGGCTGGTCTCTAACTCCTGACCTTAGGTGATCCACCTGCCTCGGTCTCCCAAAGCACTAGGATTACAGGCGTGAGCCACCGTGCCTAGCCAAATATTTAACAATTTTAAAAACTTTACGTCATGGATGTATATCAAAAAAAAGATAGCAACTGAAATAGTACAAAGAGAATATAGGACTTACAAACTTGCAGAGGAAAAAGAAATGAAGAAAACCCAATCAATCTAATACAACATAGAAAAGGAGGAGAAAAAGCAAATTAAAAAGCACAGAAATTTAAAACACAAGACAGCATATACAATATCAGTAATTAAATCCATATAAATTAATCAATTAAAATACACAGAGCCTCTCTGATTACAAACAAAATCTAGATAAAACCAAATATAAAATAAAAAGTTGAAAGTAAAGGACTGGAAAATAATTTACCAATTATACATTTTAATTATAGATTATAAATTTTAATGATTTAAATTATTATAAATTATTCTTTATGATTATGAGCTTTGTGTGTCAATATTAATATCAGATTTTAAAAGACTTTAAGAGAAATAACTCTCTGACTTATATACATATGAAAACAAAAGACTGAATTGTGAATTAGATTAGTGTGCCGATGCTACAGCTTACCCTCAGCCTATAAAGTTACAGACTCATTATTTTAAAATGTACCAGTAATTCCAGGGATGGCTATGATCAAATACTTAAGAAGATACATATGGCAGGACCACAATTCCTGTATCTTGGTAATTTATTAGAAGGAGAAGAATGAAAAGAGCATAACACTCTGACGAGTGCAGGAATAGCTTCTGAATTTGCTGACCCACGTGGATTAAAGCATTCTCAACCACAGTATTTTGCCATATAAAACAGATTTCCCCACCAAGGTTTCATAATAAAACACCTATGGGCACCATATATAAATAGTTTTAAATGACCAAGTCCTTCCACTCTAAAGAAAAGAAAATTAAACATAATACACTGTTTATACTATAGTTATTTTATACAGAAAGGGAAAATATTATTTTTTAATCTACTATAGTTTATTATTGAGTTAAAAACAAAACATGGGCCGGGCACAGTGGCTCACCTGAGGTCAGGAGTTCAAGACCACCCTGGCCAACATAGTGAAACCCCGTGTCTATTAAAAATACAAAAATTAGCTGGGTGTGGTGGTGCACGCCTGTAGTCCCAGCTACTCAGGAGGTTGAGGCAAGGAGAATCACTTGAACCCAGGAGGAGGAGGAGGAGGAGGAGGCTGCAGTGAGCCGAGATCGCACCACTGCACTCCAGACTGGGCAACAGAGTGAGATTCCATCTCAAAAAAAAAAAAAAAAGAACAAAAGCAAAACAAAACAAACAAAAACAAACAAACAAAAAAACATGAAGTAACTGAAAATCTGATTTTCAAAGAGAAGGCATATTAGGAGACTTTAAGATTATGAGTTTCAGTGTGAAAGTAGTATGTCTGTTCCTTTAAGTGAATTAAATTTAAAATATAATTTAAAAAAATAGTTCAATTGCACTAAATGTTACTTTATAAACTGGAGGTTGATACTTATAAAGACTTGAATGCCATTTTTAAACCTAAAAATTACAATACAAAACCTTTCATTTGCTGAAATTGCCATGATCTGAAGTGCCATTTACTTAATGCTTCACAGATGTATGATGCCAAGTTGTTAGTCAAATTGGAAAGTATATTTAGTCAGAAAAAAAAAATCTTCCAAAACATGTTTTCCTATATTTTACTGACATTTACATGGGATACTATGCAATGTGTCATTTATTTGCACTTTATAATCTATAAATGAAGCTCTCCCTTTCTTTTTCCAAATCAAATATGCTGTTATTGGGACCACATAATAGCTTTCCATTTAAAGACACCATTGTTTCTATAATCCCTCAGACCATGGTCATGTGCTACTTTGTCATATTTTTGACTGGACTTTTCATCACACTTTCTTCTTTGACCTTTACCCCGAGAGCCTTAGTCACAACTGAAACTTTGCTGTAAGGATGTTTTGCTACACAATCTAGCTCACTATTACGAGTCATTATACACTTTCAATAAGCTGATGTGCAGTGATGTGAAAGTACTAATTTTACCACGAGGTTACTAGTGTTACTAGAGCATGTACTAATAAATTTGGCTAACACTGAATACATGCCACGGTAGGAGGTTAGACAAAAATGGAAGAGACCAGTGATATGTTCCTTTGTGGTAATGAGTATACATAAAGGAAAATAATTAATATTAGGGTCCTTTAAATGTCATGACTACTATTAGAGTCCATTACGGATCAAATGCAATCAGAAATACTAGTGTAAATATGACTAGGAAACTAGAAATTAAAATGGAAATACTAAGACAATGGAATTTTTATGATTAAAAGTACTGTAAATAATTACCATAGCACTCTGTATATTACCAGCACCACTTAAGACCTCTTAATGTTATTAACTGCAAAGCAGTAGAATGTAGGAAAATCATTTATAGGCTCCCCACAATGTAGACGTTGTTTGTATAGCACTTACAACTACACATATATTAAATCCACCAATTTCTAAGAAACAGATCCTGTCATACTTTAGTACATCTATAACACAAATCTCTTATGCATATAATTAAGCAAAGTTAAATAGTTACTTACAGAAACTTAATTGTCGACTTTCACAGAATTCTGCATATTGAGCTGAATCCATAATTCGAGTTTGTCTTTCTGCTCTCTAAAAGATAAAAATACATAACATTTTTTAAAGCAAGCAGATTATTATATATGTTTTCACAGCTTAAACTTAGAATTGAAGTACCATTTTCCTTTCCTTATTCCAGGTGAACAGGGTAGTACTACCACATAGATCACGATACATAAAATCACAATAACTAACACTAGTTGTGAAGCTGGTGTCTTTTGGAAATAAAGTTTAAATATTACTTTCTGCTCCTTTGTTATTGAAACTAAAACTAAAGGACCTCACGTCTAAATTTTCTGACTTGTATCATCCTTTTAAAGAAAAAGAAAATGATGAGGGAATAATAAACCAAACAGAAAAACTGTTACAAATATTATTGTCAATCTGCTTTAAAGCTGTGATGTTCAATGTTAAACAAGAATCAGTGAATGGAATCCATATATTCCCTTTCAGTCAGAATCTGGGGCCACAGTTGACAAATCCATATTTTAGATTGCAAGAAAATAAAGAAAAAGGTAAACACAATACAGATCCTTTAATCTGAGTCCAGGTATGATTCATTTGGTATAGTTTCATTTGTGGAGTTTTTGATTCAGTATAGCAGATGTTTACTGCTTCACTGTCCCACAAGAGGTAGGATAATTATAATTCATCCATAGTTTGGTGGGAAAGAATATGACCACTTCCGCTTCCTTGGTAAGGAGAGCATTTTGAAATGAGACAGGCTGGTACTTCTTGGAATGAATTTCTGCCCAGCGAAGAAAAAAAAAAATCCCTGAGATTTAATTTTTTTTTTCTGTTGTGGAAGAACTTTCAGCAAGTTACCTTTACCATCGTTGTCAGAGCACATAAGTACCATTTCTTCTAATGTCTGTGGATGTTTTTGTATTTTTGAAATAGAAATTATTCTTTTTTCTTTTATTTGTGTGAGTAGTCAATTCCAATGATAGGTCAGTTGATGGAATGAATAATGGTGTACTAACTGGAGCTTAATAGAGAATATAGATGGGGCAGTAGGAGTTAAGGTAAAAATTACTAGTCACTACCGTGGTTCCTTCTAAGACCAATGACTGTTTTTCCCCTTCCTTATTTTCTGTCTCCCTTTTTTCTTTCTCTCCCTCTCTCCCTTCCTTCATTCCTTACCTCCCACACATCCACATACTCACAAATCCAAGTCTATCTTGGTTATTTACCCACTAGGTTCAAGTATACTTTTTGGGCATATACAAACATTTTATATATATACACATATAATGTATATATGTATGTGTATATATATACACATATAAAGATAAATATATAAATTATATATGTACACATATACACATAAATTTCTTTTTTTATATATATACACAAACACACATATATGTATATATGTATGTAAACATCTTCTTGTGCATGTGTCAGAAATATCACGTCTCGGCTGGGTGTGGTGGCTCACGCCTGTAATCCCAGCACTTGGGAGGTCCAGGCAGGTGGATCACTTGAAGGCAGCAGTTCGAGATCAGCCTGGCCAACATGGCAAAACCCTGTCTCTACTAAAAATACAAAAATTAGCTGGACATGGGTCTGTAATCCCAGCTACTTGGAAGGCTGAGGCAGGAGAATTGCTTGAACCTGGGAGGTGGAGGTTGCAGTGAGCTGAGATCACGCCACTGCACACCAGCCTGGGTGACAGAGTGAGACTCCGTCTCAAACAAACAAACAAACAAACAACCACACAACCACGTCTCCTTAAGAGTATATTATTGGGTTAATTTTTATTTACTTGGAAGTATTTTTTGATATTTAAATGCATGATCTAGTTTTAGCCCTCTTTTTAATGTATCTGACACATGACTCAATAAATGTTTCCTGATGAAAATAGGAAGCAAGAAAGGGAGAATTTATTTATGTGTTTTGAACATTACAAAAAAAGTTGCAGCTGGGCACGGTGGCTCATGCCTATAATCCCAGCACTTTCGAAGGCTGAGGCGGGTGGATCATGAGGTCAGGAGATTGAGACCATCCTGGCTAACACGGTGAAACCCCATCTCTACTAAAAATATAAAATATTAGCCGGGTGTGGTTGCATGCGGCTGTAGTCCCAGCTACTCGGAGGCTGAGGCAGGAGAATCGCTTGAACTCGGGAGGCAGAGGTTGTAGTGAGCCAAGATCACGCCACTGCACTCCACCCTGGGAAACAGAGGGAGACTCCGTTTCAAAAAAAAAAAAATTGTTAATGTGTTTATTTAAATAAACTCTCTAAGACTGATAATACTAACGTTAATTTGTATCTATGTACGTATGTTTGTGTATATATATCTGTTTGTCTGTGTCTCACTATAGCAGGAACTACTCACGTTTGAATTTCTAGCTCCTAGGAAAATATCTGACACATGGTAAATAAGCAATAAACATTTGTTGGATGAACAAATGCGACTGTTTTATTCCACAGGGCAAATGACTATCACCATAATGAAACTAGATCGAGAATGATTATCTAATGATTCCTACATACCATCTCTGCTGCTCTCCAGCTTGGTAGCCTCCTCCAACCAATAAATGGCTGGACAGAAAAGATTTGGATAACTATGGAAAAAGAATGTTCCTAAAGGGATTCTTAACACTAACTTTTTCTTCCACCAAGTTGGACAACCAAGATTTGGCCTCTGCATATATGCTTACATAGCTGATGTATTCGCAATAAGTGTTTCTAGAAATGAGAGGTAGCAAAATTTGTCGTCAGAGGTTAAGGTTGCCAGGATTGCCAGCTACAATATTTCAAAGATATCCATAAACATGTGAAAGACTAAATTATGGCAAGCTTCATTCCTTTCAGACACCCTCTCCAATGCCTATTCTCTTTTCTTCATTAAGCATCCTAGTTCTTTTTTAATTCCTCCAGCATCGAAGCAGTAAACTTTGATCTGAGGAGCCCCACAAATCTGACCCTAGGGTATATATAAGAAGCCATTTATCCAGTGCCTAGCACACAGGAAACACTCCACGCAAAGCAGCTGACTCAACAGCAAAGACTTATAGACAATACAAAATCATGGCTTAGAGATAGAAGGCAGCTTAAAGTTTATCTTGTTCAAATCTCTTCAATTCAAAGGGAATTGAGGCTCAGAGAAGTGATTTGTCAAAGGTGGACTAAGTTAGAATTCAAGCTCAGGACTCCCAATTCCTAAGTCAGCCTATTTTCATTATAAAAAGCTGTCTTCAACTAATGGTAATTTTTTATTCCAATGTTTTCCTTTGGGATGCTCTAAATTTCATATATTGTCTTACTAAAACATGTCATGTAGCTCCTACAATTAACATGCTCAAACTATTCTTAAGAAAAAGAAATTAGCGAGGCCCTGGGTCAGCAAATGACGTACAAGCTGGGGGTAATCTAATGAAGAGTGTAGAAACTGTAGTGTATCTGATAGTGCAAGCACATCACAGGTGTGTAGAGATACTGATTCCATTCACTCTCTGGATGCTGAACGAAGCTGAGGCAGCAGAACCCCTAGGCTGGTATCTGCTACCAGCTGCCTTGTCCATTTACCTTGGTGGGTGATAAAAATATTATCATTTTCTATGTGTGCCATGATGTGAGAAAGACTGGAAGCACTGTACTAATACTAATGTCCTTGAATATTATATGATATAACACATGAATGGTATTCACAGCATAGTCAAGGGAGTTCATGAAATCAGAGATTCTTTGAGCTATATATGCACTGACTTGGATTTGAGGATGATGAAGATGATCTGGATATGCTTATCACCTAATTTTTGTTTATTCCTCTCTCTTCCCCTGAATTGTTTAAAAAAAAAATGGAACAAATTTTGGCCAATGATGAAGATGATTTGGATATGCTTATCACCTAATTTTTGTTTATTCCTCTCTTCCCCCAGAATTGTTTCAAAGATACAAAAAAAAAGGAACAAATTTTGGCCATATGATCCAAATAATTCAACATCTGAGTATTATATTTTCTCCTGTCCTTCCACTATCATCTTAAATACTGAGAAAGGGAGTAAATATCTAACTTTCATGAACTGTATGTTCTCCAAATACAGGAACCGTGCTGCTCTTCTAGAGTGCTGAGGCAATGCTTTGCTTGGATTTGCCTGGGCCTCACTAGCTGAATCAAGGGACAGATGAATGGATGGACTAGGACAAAAGAAATGCGTTTAAGTACGTGTTGACCGGCCTAAGACCAGAAACTGTAAGAATTAGGATCAAACTGTAATCCAATTTTACAAATCCCAGGGAGACAAGGCAGTTTTAAAGACAAAAATCCATTAAAAAAATCAAGACAGTGGTCAAATATTAAATAAGTGTGGCTCTTATTTTCTGTGGTGCCCTAATTCTACCTTCTCCTCTGCCTCTATTCAGATCACCCATTCTGATCCATACTAAAGTATACACTGGCAGTCCTTTTCTATTCCTTTAAGAAATCTTTGGAAAAAGATTCAAGGGGACAATATCATAAGCCTAGTAAAACATCATGATCAGAATAATGCTTACTCTTTACTGAGATGGTTTTATTTTTAAAATGAACATAATTTTTTTTATTTTTAAAATGAAACTAATAAAACTGCTTATTCTTTGAGATGGTTTTATAAAATAAAATTTATAAAATATTTATATTTATTTACATATTTAAAATATTTATAAAGTAAAACCATCTCAATAAAGAGTAAGCAGTTTTATTAGTTTCATTTTACAAATGAAGACACTGATTTAGAGAACTTAAAGGAAAACTTTAAAAGCATACAGTTAATAAAGAGGCAAAACTAGAAGTAAAACTTGGGTCCTAAATACCTACCTCTAAGGTATACAAAGTTTCTCAGAAAACAGTTACTATTCTAGATCATATTACTTGTAATGAAGGTTGTACTCCCTTTAGGCTCTAGTTTCTTTTGAACTAAATATTACAATGCAAACTTAATTTTAAAAGACTTACTTTGGCTATTCCGTATAGTCATTAAACTATAACAAAAAAGACATCATATCATTGTCAAAGGCACTGAAAACACAAATCTCTGAAATAAAAGTCACTGAATAATCACAGATGATTTATCATGGCTTTTATTCATACTGAACATTCTCAAATTACACAATGCTCTCCTATCTCAGACGGCCACATGAATGTAAGGTCATCTTTGGATTAGTCATACTCTTGTATCTGCAAGTCCAGTATGTCTTCTGCTTAATCTGTCAATTCCACCCACTCCCTGGTTTCTTTAGGTGTCATCAACAGCATTCTTGAACATTCATAAAATATGCAACATACTTAGAGGATTTTAGGAAATTAAATCTTACTAGTATTACAATATAGCTAAGTATTATAACATAGGCACAAATGTGGAGAAACTACTTGTGAAAGAATTATTCCTAAAGTTTTCCAAATACTCAACAGTATTTTAAAATTTAATTGAAATAGCTTTTTAAAAAGGTAAAACAGAATAGTTGGTGACTAGTTGCTTTTCTCACTACCGGGAAGTTACAGCATTTTCTTGTTATTGTAAAACATACAGAGAAGGCAGACTTTTATGCTAGATGAACTCACTTTCTGCGTCCTACTTAAATGAAAACAGAAATGCTAATATCCCTACAGATACAGTGCCTAGTATAATTTGTTTGTTCAATATCGTGAATACAACAAACTCTCGGTACATATTTGTTAATCTGAATTTTCAGTGAAAAGTTTTTATTTCAATTAATGTGAAGTTGATTGTGCCTTTGAAAAATACTTTCAGTACGGACAATCATCATTTGCCCTGTCTATACCACTTTGAGGTGTAAGGCTGGATTACTTATGCAGCATGCAGTTGCATTTAAATTCCATGTGCTCTCACTGAAGCATTTTTAAAGGTTATGGAAGCTATGTGCTGGCATATCTCTTGGCAGCTTCTCAAGGCACATGGCATTTAACTTTCTTCAGCAACACAAAAACACAGAGCATAACTTTCAAACCAAGATGAGAGTATCTGCTCTCACTTCTACTTCAACATTTTTTTCATTTCTTTTTTGAGACAGGGTCTTGCTCTGTCACCCAGGCTGGTGTGCAGTGACACCATCATGGCTTACTTCAGCCTCAACCTCCCCAGTTTAAGTGAGCCTCCTGCCTCAGCCTCCTGGGTAGCTGGGACTACAGGTGTGTGCCATCAGGCCTGGCAAATTGTTTTCTTATTTTTATAGAGATGAGATCTCTATAAAATTGCCCAGGCTGGTCTTGAATTCCTGGCCTCAAGTGATCCTCCTGCCTCGGCCTCCCAAAGTGCTGGGATTACAGGCATGAGCCACTGCACCTGGCCAAAAAATTTTTTTTAATCTTATTCTGATTACTCTTAAAAGTCTTACAATTGAAATGCAGAGTCCTTTTTGCATGGAAAAGGCAAAATGCCTTTTACTAAAATGGTAATCTACCAACAATCTCATGTTCAATAGGCATTGGTTGTTGAACTTGAAAACTTCAAATGGAGTGGTTGGCAGCAGCATTCAGCAATGCGGCAACATGTAAATTATGAAATGTGTATGCATGTTTATATATGTATAACGTGGTCCACTTGCAGAAGGATAATATTAACAAGTCAGTAAATACCACAAAATGCCGAAGAAACCATATCTCTAACTCACTGTAGGTAAAGAAGCTGAGGTCCAGAAAGGTTAAAGGATTTACTGGGATGGTTGCAGAGGCAATCCAGTACCCCAGTGAGTGCTCATTCTGCTTGCTGGGTCAGTTTGTAATTTGGTAGACTCCTTACCCAAAAGCTAAGTAAGCCTCCCTCAAAACACATGGTAAAGCACCCTTTCTTTTTATTCCACTGCAAAAGTCATCATTTTGGTCCTGGGGTATTGCAACAGCTTCCTAGCTTTCACAGACCTTTCCTCTCCCAACCTATCCTGCATACTAGTATTTTAAATAAAAACATGGAGAAAAGGCCCTCGTACATTGTAAGATTCACTGTAGTAGGCTGTCCTGTGTCCCCACATCACTTTCTTTTCTCTGACTCATAAACAAATGGCTCTAAACTAAGCACTGCATCAAATTTAAGCTCAAATGCCTGACTTCTAATTACAGACATAATCTCGGCCATTCTACCTCAGCACACATTGTTCTCACTAAAACCAAATTTATTCTTTGTTTTTAGTTAGGTCACCCTTTGTCATATGTGCCATGTACTGCTGCCACCCTGCCACTCCCCCATTACTGTGCTGGCCACCCCTCCCCATCTTCAGGGTCATTTAAATCATTCCCTTTCTTCAAGGTCTTGCGTAGGTCCCACCTCCTCTGGGAAGTTTGTCCAGTTTACACTGATTTCTCTCTTCTGAAATTATTTGTTCTTCTAGATAGTATTATACCCCTTCCTGCACTTTCCCATGTGTGCTACTTTTGTCTCTCCTCAAAGATTAGCTGCAGGAATGTATTATTAATGGAAAAATCAAGTTGCATACTAGAATGCATGTACCTTAATTCCATTTATGTTTGAACATACACACACATATGCACGTGTATGTCTGCAAATACACGGAAAGTCTGGAAGCATATACATTATACTTTTGATAGTATTTATCTCTGGAGGTGAAATTATAGGTAACTTTAACTTTTCAGTGACACATTTCAGTAATTTTTTTTTTTAACAGTGAATTACAAACAGAAAAAGCATTTCAAAAGTAAAGAAATCTTCTTTCCTCTTGAGTTAATTTTACTTGACTTACAGGAAGTCATTAACTGTGCACACATAAAAATAATCAAAGCAGTTACCCAAGAGGCAGAAAATCACAGAGAAACAGCAGAGGCTTGAATATATGTTTTTAGAAAAAAAATCAAAAAACAAAAACACACATACGCACACAAAGGAGAACGTCATGCAATATTTAAGGGACCGACTCAGAATCCTGACTGATGAAGTAGAAACCAAAAGTTCATTTAGGTTTGACCTGCAATTTTCACTGAATTACATCGACTTGAATAGAAATGCAGTATATTTTCTATATCACAGCCTTAAAAAATAGGTTTCCAGTGGTGCTAATTTGTTTCCCCAGAGTGGCATTCATAATATACCAATTTTACATGTCCAAGGTATTAAGAATGTCTTACAGTAATTATATGAAGTTTCCTAAAGAAAGAGCTGTAGACCCTAGAAGATTCAAAGGATTTAAAAGAAATTTTGTGCTGAAAGTGAGTAATCCTCAGCAAGTACAAAGCATCAGTGATTGAGAAACACACAAAAAGATATTTGTGCTACTATGACATAATAGAGTTGTTTCAAAATATTGAATTCAGTTTTTTTTATCTATATCCTATGGGTCTAAATATATTAATTAATGTCATCATAGGAGCTTTACCTTTTTCATACATTTTAAACTATCAAGAGTGGGCATTAATTGGTTATATAATGAAAAATGTAGTTATTAAAATCAAACTAATAAATTTAAAAATGTTTTAATGCCCATTAAAAATTTTTAATCTAAATTTATTAAGCCAGTAATGGGGAAAAAAACCATATGTAATAAAATATTTCCCATCTTGGGATAAAATGTGTGTTAAGAAAAGTATCATTTTAAAACAACCTAGTGCCATACAACCTAATTACCTGTCAAGTTGTAAATCCCAGTGTTTAGTGTTAGTACCAATTTTTGCTAATGTTTCCTTAAAATTGTAAATATGCTCTGGAATAACTCGGTTGGCAAATAACATAAAAAGCCATGTGAGTTTCTGCCCAAACTATTTCTTTTAAGTAATAGAACACTGACTTTGACTTTTTGTTTTCCTGATTAAGGATGTTACAACCCTTTTTTTTTTTTGGTGATTTTTATTTGGCTATATATAAAAAAGTGAACATGCTAGTTTAATATGTATAAAATCTTCAGGCATTTTGAATAACATTCTTAAAAATTCTCAGAGGTTTACATAATATCTAGATGAGCTGAAAGGCTTTACAGTACAGCAAGCATATAGGGATATGGTTAAATATTTTGGTCATTTTGGGTAAAACTTTAGAATACTGCCTGAAAAATATATAAAGCCATTAATTCATAAAATTTAGTTCATACTTTCTCTTTAATCCTGAGTTAGAACTGCAGATCTTTCCATCTTGGTTTAGGCAAGATCAAATTCTCAAGTAGTCAAATATGCACACTTTATGGAGTCTGGCTTTACTTACATAGAATAAAAGTCTAGCATCTTTAAGGTAAAATCTTGTGAAAAGGGAAGCCTGTCAGTGCAGCATGGCTCTCACCATCCTCCCCAAGGATACACAGAATTCTGTAAAGAACAAAGGAGCCCTGCTTGCAATCTCCCTTTGTTGCTACTATGTGATTTATCTTAGTTTTTTCAGTAAGGACTTTTTCTAAACATGTGAAAATAAAAATTTTTATTGCAGATTAAGTCATCAGTTAATTCCCTCTAAGCATTTTCAATCAGCTCTATCTTTAAAATACAACTAAAATAAACCACTTTCATCACCTTCTAGGGTCACTGATACTACTCTAGTCCAAGCCACCATCATCAACTCTCCTCTGGATTGCTCTATTAGTTTGTTCTCATGCTGCTATAAAGGACTGCCTGAGACTGGGTAATTTATAAAGGAAAGAAGTTTAACTGACTCACATTTCCACAGAACTGGGGAGGCCTCAGGAAACTTACAATCATGGCAGAAGGGGAAGCAAACACATCCTTCTTCACGTGATGGCAGGAAGGAGAAGTGCCAAGCAAAAGGAGGAAAAGCCCCTTATAAAAACATCAGATCTCCTGAGAACTCACTCACTATGATGAGAACAGAAGCATGGGGGTAACTGCCCCCCATGATTCAATGACCTCCCAATGGGTCCTTCCCATGACACATGGGGATTATGGGAACTACAATTCAAGATGAGATTTGAGTGGGGACACAGCCAAACCATATTAATTCCATCCCAGCTCCTCCCAGATCTCATGTCCTCACATTTCAAAACCAATCATGCCTTCCCAACATCCCCCAAAGTCTTTTTTGCCTGTTTGTTTTTTCTTGAGACGGAGTCTCACTCTGTCGCCCAGGCTGGAGTGCAGTGGTGCAATCTCGGCTCACTGCAAGCTCCGCCTCCTGGGTTCATGCCATTCTCCTGCCTCAGCATCCCGAGTAGCTGGGACAACAGGCGCCTGCCACCACACCCGGCTAATTTTTTTTGTATTTTTAGTAGAGACGGGGTTTCACCATGTTAGCCAGGATGGTCTCTATCTCCTGACCTTGTGATCTGTCCACCTCGGCCTCCCAAAGTGCTGGGATTACAGGCATGAGCCACTGCGCCCAGCCAACATCCCCCAAAGTCTTAACTCATTCCAGCATTAACCCAAAAGTCCAAGTCCAAAGTCTCATCTGAGACAAGACCAGTCCCTTCCACTTACAAGCCTGTAAAATCAAAGACAAGTTAGTTACTTCCTAGATACAATGGTGGTACAGGCATTGGGTAAACATACCCATTCTAAATGGGAGAAATTGGCCAAAATGAAGGGGTTACAGGCCCCACATAAGTCCAAAATCCAGTGGGGCAGTCAAATCTTAAAACTCCAAAATGATCTCTTTTGACTCCATGTCTCATATCCAGGTCGCACGGATTCAAGAGAGGTGGGGTCCCAGGGCCTCTTGTCAGCTACGCCCCTGTGGCTTTGTAGGGCACAGCTCCCCTCCCAGATGCTTTCATGGGCTGGTGTTGAGTATCTGCGGCTTTTCCAGGAACACAGTGCAAGCTGTCAGTGGATCTACCATTCTGCGATCTGGAGAATGGTGGCCCTTTTACAGCTCTACTAGGCAGTGCCCCAGTAGGGACCTGTGTGGTGGCTCCAACCCCACATTTCCTTTCTGCACTGCCCTAGTAGAGGTTTTCCAGGAGGGCTCTGCCCCGGCAACACACCCCTGCCTAGACATCCAGGTGTTTCCATACATCCTGTGAAGTCTAGGTGGAGGTTCCCAAACCTCAATTCTAGACTTCTTTGCTCCCACAGACTCAACACCATGTGGAAGCTGCCAAGGCTTGGGACTTGCACCCTCTGAAGCCACAACTCTTTTAGCCATGCTGGGACACAGGGCACCAATTCCCAAAACTGCACAAAGCAGCAAGGCCCTGGGCCTGACTCATGAAACCATTTTTTCCTCCTACGCCTCTGGGCCTGTGATGGGAGGGGTTGCCGTGAAGACCTCTGACATGCCTTGGAGACATTTTCCCCTGTTTTGGCAATTAACATTTTGCTCCTCATTATTTATGCAAATTTCTGCAGCAGGCTTGAGTTTCTTCTCAGAAAATAGGTTTATCTTTTCTATCATATCACGAGGCTGCAAATTTTCCAAAGTTTTATGCTCTGGTTCCCTTTTAAACATAAGTTCCAATTCCAAAGTGTCTCTGTAAATACATAAAACTGAATACTTTTTACAGCACCCAAGGAACCTCTTGAATGACTTGTTGCTTAAAAATTTCTTCTGCTATATACCCTAAATCATCTCTCCCCAGTTCAAAGTTCCACAGACCTCTAGGGCAGGGAAAAAATGCTGCCAGTCTCTTTGCTAAAACACAGCAAGAGTCACCATTATTTTAGTTCCCAACAACTTCCTCATCTCCATCTGGGACCACCTTAGCCTGGACTTCATTGTTTACATTACTGTCAGCATTTTGGTCAAAGCCATTCAACAAGTCTGTAGGAATTTCCAAACTTTCCTACATCTTCATGTCTCCTGAGCCCTCCAAGTCTCTAGGAAGTTTCAGACTTTCCCATATTTTCCTGTCTTCTTCTGAGGCCTCCAAACTGTTCCGACCTTGGCCTGTTACCAACTTCCAAAGTCACTTCCACATTTTCAGGTATTTTTACAGCAGCACACCACTACCTGGTACCAATTTCCTATATTAATCTGTTTTCACACTGCTAATAAAGACATACCAGAGATTGGGTAATTTATAAAGGAAAATGGTTTAATTGACTCACAGTTCTGCAGGGCTGGGGAGGTCTCAGGAAACTTACAATCATGGCAGAAGGGGAAGCAAATACATCCTTCTTCACATGGTGGCAGCAAAGAGGAGAAGCCCCTTATAAAACCATCAGATCTCCTGAGAACTCACTTACTACCATGAAAACAGCATGGAGGTAACAGCCCCCATAATTCAATTACCTTCCACCAGGTCCCTCCCACGACACGTGAGGATTATGGGAACTACAATTCCAGATGAGATTTGGGTGGGGACACAGCCAAACTGTATCAATTGCTATAACAGACTCCTAATGAGTCTTCCTGCTATGGCTCACATATATTAGGTAACTTGTCCAAGGTTGCTAAGCAATGTGTGCTGCAATCTGAAATGAGATCTGTCTTACTCTAAAGTTTATGCTCTTTTTACTACAAAAGGGGTTTGGCTACGTGTGTATATGCTGGGTGGGGTAGGTGTATGTGAACATTTGAAAATATGTATTTGTGTATATATATATTCATATATACATGTTTGTATATATAAATATATATATGTCTGTATAACTATATACACACATATATGTATAATGTGTGTGTATAAATTGTGTGTGTTTGTGTTTGTGTAATTTAAGAGATACCTTATGGAACCCTCATAAATGAAGGTGCTGAAACCAGAGATGCTTTGATAGAGGTGAGGGAAGAAGACTCACAGTCCTCCAATATTCTTTCTCCTCTGCAAAGTACTTCTCAATGAAATACCAAAAACTGCAAAACACAACTTGAAAACTACTGTACTATACACATTGCCGTCCCTTCAAGGAGTAAGCATTGTGCTTCTGGTTTCAAAACAGAGGCCATTTCACAGGAAGATCATGGTACCAAAGGAAAAAGTAATCCCCACACACCGGACAAAGTGACCTTTTAAAAATGCAAATCATGCTGTGTCATTTCTATCAAAACCCTCCTTGGTCCTGACATCATGGTCTGTTGCAAAAATGACAGGCTATCTATAAAGCACTTAGGAAAAACTGCTCCTAAAACAGACTAGAACAAATGTTGCTATATTTAACTTCCCTGAGTCAATACAATAAGACCTCTCTTCACCTCTGATAAAAATTCTATACCCTATGTGAAAGCTACCCTACTGCTGCCAGAAATGTTAATGAGTAGCAGAGATAACTGGCTCAATGATGTATTAAGATGACCAGTTTATTGGGAGGCCGAGGCAGGTGGATCACCTGAGGTCAGGAGTTCGAGACCAGCCTGACCAATATGGTAAGACCCCGTCTCTACTAAAAATACAAAAATTAGCTGGGCATGGTGGTGGGTGCCTGTAATCCTAGCTAGTCGGGAGGTTGAGGCAGGGGAATCACTTGAACCCAGGAGGCGGAGGGTGCAGTGAGCAGAGATCGGGCCACTGCACTCCAGCCTGGGTGACACAGCAAGACTCCATCTCAAACAAACAAACAAACAAACAAAAAAGACGACCAGTTTATAGCTTTTACTATCTGTAATTTATCTTCTTAGTTTCACTCTCCCAGTTTATAAATATTTTAAAAGTTGACTCTTTATATAGAAAACCATAAGTATTCTAACTAACGAACTAAGTTGGGCCTAAATGCCCATCAACCAACAACTGAATAAAGAAAATGTGGTATATATATACCATGGAATACTACTCAGCCATAAAAAGGAATGAAATAATGGCATCTGCAGCAAGCTGGATGGAGTTGGAGATCATTATTCTAAGTGAATTATCTCAGGAATGAAAAACTAATTATCTTATGTTCTCACTTATAAGTAAGAACTAAGCTATGAAGATGCAAAGGCATAAGAATGATATAAGGAACTTTGGAGACTTGGTGGGAAGGGTGGGAGGGGGTGAGGGATAAAAGACTACACTTGGGTACAGTGTACACTGCTCGGGTTACAGTGCACCAAAATCTTAGAAATCACCACTAAAGAACTTATACACGTAACCAAAAACCACCTGTTCCTCAAACACTATTGGGAAAAAAATTGAAATGTCAATATACTTGGAAAGAGTCCTATTAATAATATAAACATCAAATTACTTCTGATTTTTGATAAGCAGAGTAAGTAAAATGATGAGCTCATTATTAAAAAAAAGAAAATATGAAAAAAGCAAACTCATGCTGAGTATGTCATGCTCCAGTAAGGAAACAATGCCACCAGTGTGGGAAAAATTCTCGAGGAAAAATAGGCTTTTATAACTGGATAGCATTTGAGTTAAGATTAGAAACAAAACAAACAAAATTAAATTATTTATTCCTCTAAATGGAACGTTCTTAATCATCTTAATGCTAAAGTTTCCTTTCTTGTAATTGGCTGAGTTGTTTTCACGAATCAGAAATGAGCAAGTCCATCAATAGAAATCTGTCACAGAGACTGATCTAAGCTAGAAGCATGAGTTAACATAAAACAAAAGGAAGAAAATTTTTTTCCTGAGAATGCCAAGATTTAGTCACTAAGAAAAGGAGAAAATGATAGTCTTTACCAAGTATGACTATCACGAAGATACAAGAATAATCATAACAATCAAAAATGCTTTGCTTCAGATGTAGTAAACGTAAATTCCTAAATACTTAAGAAAAAGCAGAAATGTCTACACATTTGGAAAATTAATGTCTTTTTTTTTTTTCTTGAGACAGAGTCTCACTCTGTTGCCCAGGCTGGAGTGCAGTGGCGCAATCTTGGCTCACTGCAATCTCTGCCTCCAGGGCTCGAGAGATTCTCCTGCCTCAGCGTCCCGAATAGCTGGGAATACAGGTGACCACAACCATGCCTGGCTAATTTTTTGTATTTTTAGTAGAGACGGGGTTTCACCATGTTGGCTAGGCTGGTTTCAAACTCCTGACCTCAAGTGATCTGCCCGCTTCAGCCTCCCAAAGTGCTAGGATTACAGGCATGAGGCACTGCGCCCGGCCATATTTTGAATTCTTATCTGAAAAGTCTACTTACCTAAACTAAAAATATTTTTTAAAAACAGAAATAATCTTTAAAATAATTGTGGGTGTGAAAATCTTTGAATTATAAAGTCTTGCAGGGACTTTTCTCTTGAAGAAGGCTTGGCTATACTTAGATTCAGTATAGGTATTTCAAGTAGCCTGAACACAATGGCTGTCCCTTGAGCTTCTAAGAATGCAGAAGAGCAAAATCCTCTGCAATCATAAGTGCAAAACCTGTAATTATGGTTATTTAACAAAATGGTTTCTGTTAAGATATTTGATGATGAAATTTCCACTCTCTTAGATGTCAGTGCCCACATTTTATTCAGGCTTTACTCATGAGTAAATGTATTATAACTGTTATTTGATTAAATGTCAGTGGCCACCAGGCCTAGTTCATAAGCAAGAAGCTTAAAGAAGGCAAGCCACAGAGGGTGTGGAATGATTACAAAGAAAGATGATGAAAGGAGAATTGTTTTTGCAACTTGGTGATGTGAGGCAGTGTTTCACCTTAAATAAAGTAACCACAAAAGCTTTAAAGAAGCAAAGGACTATTTTGGCAGCAAGAGGAAGGGAAGATCAGTAAAATGGGTAAAGTCAAGTAAGGAAGAATCACAGCATAGAACAGCAGTATTTTAAAGTTTTATGTATACTGCCTTATTTACATGTTTATCCACTCAACAGCTGTGTCAGGGAGAAAGATAAGCTATTATTACATTTCCATTTATAGAAGAAACTGAAACTTACTGATTCTCTGGATTTTTTAAAAATACTTTTTAAAAAAAATTTTTGAACTAATTTTAGATTTGCAGAAAAACTTCAAAAATAGTACAGAGAGTTCCTGTATACTCTTCACCCCACCTTGCCACCCTACATGCATCTTATCTGATCTCACAAGCTAAACTGGGTCAGGTTTGTTTAGTACTTGGATGAGAGTTTTGTGGTTTTTCACCAAGGTAAAATATATTGCTAGAAAGAGTTTAAGATTCCTATTCCAAAATCAGTGCTCTTTCTACTATACTACTGACTTCTACACAAAACTCCTTATTCAGATATAAAATTTTCTATCTGATCAAGTAAAATTATGCAGTTCACTTGACATTACTACTACATGTTACAACTTTAGAGATGTATAAAATTTGCAATAATCTAAAAAATTCTACGTGAAATGCTCTGTAGTGGCCCTGATAAGAAACTGGTTTTGTTTTATAGAATTGAAACCCTCAGATTGCGCTACATGCAGTTTTCATAAGATCTAGAAATGTATTCTAAAATGAATACATTGCTTAATGAAATATAAGTGGACGAATGTCATGGAATTATCATAGTGCCTACTGAATATTCAGACTACATTTTCTGAGTCATTTTACTCGGTGGTAGTAGTAAATATTACATATTCCACTAACTTGATGTTATGCATGCTGCAAATCCTTTGATTCTGATTCTAGTCACTATGAAGGGAAGATTATTTCTAAAGTAAATTCCATAGGAATATTGCTATATTATATATTTTCATAAAGAAGATTCTGTCAATGACAGCTACCATTTCTTAAACACCCATGTGCTGAACTGAGCCAGGTATATTACATATGTTATCACAAATCCTTCCCAACACTTCTAAGATGCAGGTCCAGATAAAGGAATCTGAGACTCAGAAACATGTAGTAATTTGTCCAGGTTAGTAACATACCTTGGATAAAGAATGGAACTGTGATTTTAATATGTAGGTCTATATGACCCCAAAGCCCATGCTCTGGTCATAATACCATACAATCTAAAGAGAGTATCAGAAAAAAGACAAGTATACTACAAACAGTTTGGTAAAAGATAAAAACTGTCATTCTATAATAAAGAAAATGATGCAGAGGGAAGAGATAGATTTGCTAAACAATGAGAATATGCATACTGTGTATGTTTCATTAGTTTGTAGGCTTTAAGTGGGAACACAGTGTTGTGACATAGCATGGTCTCATCTGTCTGGGAAGGTCATCCTTCCTTTCTATTCGTTCTAAGTAATAGAATAATAGTTATTCTATTGAGTAAGAAGCAACATGAAGGATCCACATGGGAGGACTAGGGTGAGGGTGAAAGTAGGGAGAGAGTTTGGTCTGTCAGAACAGGCTAAAAACCCTATAATCACTGGGGCAACAGGTTTCATGACCAGATTGCCCAAACGTTGTATGCAGATTAGAAACAAAACAAAACATGGACAACATTGAAATAAGTAACAGAAATCCACACAATGAAAATATGTCCTTGCCAAAATAATAAATTAATATTCTTCAAAGCACAAAAGCAATCCTGTTAATATTCTTTTCTATTGGTGCCTTTTAGGTACATTTACAACATGATAAACTAAATTGGATTTTATACAATTCTTAAGTAATACTCCTATTGTACCACACCAGGTATCCCATATAGTTAAATGAACACGCCTTGTTACTTTGCATACCCTCCTTTGCATAATGTTCTTTAGAGGTAGAAAAACACACAGCCCAGATGGTACTTATTTTTCTGTAGCACAGTATTTTAATTTCTCAAGTCGCAGAACGAATATTTTGATTAACAAAAAAGCCTAAAATCAAATCCTCCCATTTTCTTTCAGAATTTAAGAGACAAGAAACATACTAATAAATACTGAATGATTTCTTCAACCATTTGATAGGTTGATAGGTTTCAATGAACAAAATTCTTCAAATTAGTATGAGTCTTAGGCTAAAACATGTTAAGATATTAACACTTGGCCTATGGTTATGATTGTTCTTTGAAAATCATAAACCATGACAAAATACTCTTTCAATACAAAAAGTAAACTCAGTTTTTATCAATTATCTGTGAAAGAATGAACAAAGTGTGTGTGGGGGGGGGAAATCAATGTTCTATGTAAAAGGTTAAGTGGAGCTTTGGAATTGACAGTGAAAGCCCACACAAAAGCTAGGATGAGTAATCTCTACAGCCTCCTTGACCCATTAAAAGGTGATGAGTTTGTGTGACAGCCAAGAATTATCTGCTCTCATGACATGGGACAAAAAAAGTTCGTTTTACATCTTATGAACTTACGAGTTCATTTCATTGGCACAAATTAGAAATAAGACTATGAGATAACCTGGATTTCTTCAAGCATCAGGTAAAACAGAACGCAATTACTGTCAAACAGATTGGAATTATTAAGTTCTTTCCATTTACCAAACTGTTAACTAAAACAATTTTTATAGTAGACCAGGTCTACCTTAAGACACTAATTATTTTCTTGAAGTACGTTCTTATCAATCCAGGGGGCTCATTCACGTTTTATTAGTTAAGATTATTTCTGGCTACATATATAAGCCAAAATTATAGTTGCTTAGGCAAGATCAAAGTTTATTTTTCCTCACATAAATGAATTCTGGAGATAGGTATTCAGGCTTTACACAAACACTGACTGAAGTCTCCAGGGCCTCAATCTCCTCCAGTATCTGCTCTGACATTTTGTGATTCAGAATGTCTTGGCTTCTAAAGCTCCAGCCTTGAATCTGCATAAAATAGACAAATGCAGAAAGGGTAGGGAGTGTACCCTTTCTCTAAAAAAAAAAAAAAGAAAAAATGACAGTAAGTCCTCACTTCATCTCATTGATAAGTTCTCGGAAACTGAAAATTTATGTGAAACAACATATAACAAAATCATTTTTTTCTTTGTCCCTCATCAATGTTATAACAAAATGACAGTGAAGGAAAGGAAGTTGAGGGCCTGCTGTACAATGATGTTACGTGAGGGCTTATTGTACTAAGGATTCCCATAGAATGCTTACATTTCATTGGCCACAACTCAGTCGTGTGACCAAACGTGGCTGAGGGTAAGAGAAATGCAGATTTTCTTTCTTTCTTCTTGTTTGGTCTAGATGTTAAAATACCCAGCTACAAATCAGTTTTGTTACAAAGGAAGGAGAACATGGATACTGAGTGGCAAGTAGTTGTGTCTACATGGTGGTATATGACTGAGGTTAAAAATTCATTACATCTATGTGACCCATCATAATCATTTCCAGAACTGATTTTTAGCAGTCATAGGAACCTCTAATAAGTTTAAGAATGAGGATTCTCTTCCTTCACATCACTTACAAACATTTTTTTAAATGCAATTTATGTAGCTTTAAACTTCACTAGAGTACTTTCAGAGGATAAGGAGAAGGCAAAGTTAAGTCAAATAACCATGTCTAATAACTGTCCTAATTCCAAAAAGATTAAGAAGCGCACGTCTGAAGAAGTAGATTTAGTGGCATTTAATCTATTCATACCTTAGAGTTAGCATAACAACTCCTCAAGGAAGGCAAGTGACAGGAAAAGGGGTTTGACAAATGATTCACTCCAATGCCTACTTAAATGCTTTGCCGTTTTGCGTAAATGCCAGCTGGTGGGATGGATCACTGCTACTGACATGTTCTACTCTAACTCTTTACTGGAAGCCCAGCTATAGCTGCTATCCATCTCAAACTTCATCTTAGGGAGAAATACACTACAGGATATGAGGGGTAAAGTGATTCCAAGAACAAGGAACTTGAAAGTAACAGAGAATATTTGCAGAGCTGGGTATAAATAAATGAAGGATGGATTTTAATGAAGAAGTCATATACCTGGAAAATATTGCTTCACTTGTTAACAAAAAGCATGAAATTACATTTTTGTCGTTTTATTTTGATGAGAGAGATATGAATAAAGCAAATGACATTTAAGATATATTTGAAAAGGAATGGACTGGGTACATCATAGGGTAAATACGATTCCAACCCAATCCCAATACATTCTGTATATCAACAGTGCTTAAGTGTTGTAACTCAGTGGCAAATGAGTTTTAATCATAACCCAAATATTTTGAAATATTCTTCTATAATATTGAGAAACATTTTATACCATTAGAAAAAGATTAGCGTGAGTGGTAATAGGAATGTTTACCTGGGAATCAGAAGATCTGGACTCTAGGTCTCAGTTTTACCTCTAACACAAGATGGGACTCTCTAGGTTAAGTTGCTTCATCTCACTGTGACTGAGTTCTCTCTTCTTTAATATAGCTCTGAGATTCTGTGGTTCTACGTGTATTCTCTTATCTCAGGGAACTCCTGAAAGCCTTAGAAACATTTTGGCTGGGCATGGTAGCTCATGCCTGTAATCTCAGCACTTTGGGAGGTGAAACTCCATCTCTACATGACATGAAAAAAAAAAAAAAAAGCAAAACTAGCTAGGGACCATGGTGCGTGCCTGTAGTCCCAGCTACTGGGGAGGCTAAAGTGGGAGGATCGCTTGAGCACAGGAGTTTGACACTGCAGTGAGCAATGATCTCACTATTGTGCTCCAGCCTGGTCAACAGAGTGAGATCCTGTGTCTAAAACAAAGCAAAGCAAAACAAAAGAAAAGAAAAAGAAATTTAAAAAGCAAAGAAATATTTCATAGTTCTAAGATTTAAGAGATAAGACAACCTGGCCAAATCCACACTGAGAAAATTTCAAGCTGTTTGCAATGATTCTTTTTGTTTGTTTGTTTGTTTGTTTGAGACAGTCTCACTCTGTCACCCAGGCTTTTTTTTTGAGATGGAGTCTCGCTCTGTCGCCCAGGCTGGAGTGCTGTGGCACAATATCAGCTCACTGCAAGCTCTGCCTCCTGGGTTCACACCATTTTCCTGCCTCAGCCTCCCGAGTAGCTGGGACTACAAGTGCCCGCCACCACGTCTGGCTAATTTTTTGTATTTTTAGTAGAGACAGTGTTTCACCGTGTTAGCCAGGATGGCCTCCATCTCCTGACCTCAATCTCCTGGCCTCCTGAAGCGCTGGGATTACAGGCGTGAGCCACCATGCCCAGCCCGATTCTTTATATAGAAGAAATGTCACTGGAAGAAGCCATAAGGGTCCTAACTTCTGGTAAACATCCAGATACTTCAAAACTATGAGTGTGTTAGAATCACTTCACTTGTATCAAAGATACAGCTATGTACTCTCCTGTATCAACTTTGTATTAGTCTCCTATCTCTCCTCTATCTTGCACAGAAGAATTTTTTGCTGATTTAGAGAATGAAGAGGCCTTGTGATAGTGATAATGAAAGACAGACTATGGCATTCGTAAGAATCTGTACTTTCATAACAGAGAATGGAAAAATAATTCAGGTACTTCTTAAAGTCAAGAAAATAAAAGGATAGGAAAAACACCACTACTCTGGCTTCAAATAGTTCCTCCTAGAGATGCTCGTATAGTGAATTAGGTCCAACACAAGAAATCTAAGAAGATGTTCTAAAGAACTTTGCAAAAGGTACCAATCACCATGGGATTCACATAGAGGCTAAATATTAAATCTGTCTTTTTAAGATAAAATATATGTTGAAAGCTATTATCAATAGTTGTTTTTGAGAGAAGTATATCTAAGAGATTATGGTATTCAAATGTATGTCAATGCTCTTTGAAAATAAGTGTAAAAAATTCTAAATGGATGTTTGAGTCACATAAGCATAGATGAGCAGAAGCAAATGTAAACTCCCAAATCAAATAATGTCAGTTATTTGTAGATCACCATAGCCTCATACTTTTCCACTATATTAGTCTATACAGGGTGACTTGTTAGGTAAAAGTGGACATTCTAGATTACAAGAAAGTCTTTGGTTTTCTGATAATAAGGAGATAAAGTGAGCCTTCAAAAATTTACATTAAATTTATTGGACACATTTTAAGAAAGTGAAAGTTCATTTTCTAATAGCTAATGAAGGCAGTGTGTACCTTCAGTAGGCAAGGAATGTGAACATACCTTTACATATTCTTTGAGAAAAGCATATCCTATCCCATTAACTGAAGAAAGAAAGAAAGAAAAAAAATCCCCTACCATGTCCCTATTAAAAAGAAATCAGGCTTGGTATGCTTATGACACTTCAAAGAGCATATTATGTGGGAAAACAAAATAAACATTTAACCTGGCAAATGAAAATGGACTTGGGGTTTTGACATACTTGGCAGACAGGTAGAATTAAATTCAAGTAAAGAATGCAGAGAAACTAATATAGTATTTAAATATTTGCTTAAGTAATATAGTATTTAAAATAACATTCAAAGAACCGTTTTTATTGAAATGTTTTACAGGTTTAGTGAGGATGTTTTTTAACTGAAAGAGCTTGACTGGAAGTACACTTTACTTTCTCTCTGTCATTCTGTGAACTTTAGTGAGGTTTTCTATTTACTTTTTCATTAGGCATTTTCCTGTAAGTCTAAGATAACTGTACAGTATGCTCTGTAGCTTTTTAAAGAAAATTTAGATGACAAAAGTCATTTTTGAAATAAAATACCGACAGTCTCAAGATCAACCTAGCATATATATGGCATATTATGAATATAAATGTTGAGTGGATGAATGAATAGAGGGTCTAATCTAGTAAGGAGCTAAGGCACTGTCTGCCTCCTCTTGCCTCCATCTCCGCAAGGTTGCCTAGAAGCCTCTATGTGAGAGAGGTGTAACAGGATCCTGCCTTCTAGCGATGGTGCCAAGTCCAGGCCTGGACACTAGACACAGCTGAATCAAACAGAGGCCATTTCCTGAGACTTAAGATTGGTAATCCAGTGAGCTGGGCCTGCCTCTCTCAAGGTGATGAAGCTAACTTGGGAACTACTGGTGGCATGTAACCCTCTAAGTATAAAGCATAGCTCAACAAGGAGAGAAAAATTAAGCCTATGTAGAGAGAAGTGGAGATCAGAAATAGTGAATAAAATTTTTATTTTATTGGTGTCTGAGTTGTAGTTCTTGAGGCCCAGTTGTATACCCATCTGTAGGTTGCTTAGAAGATACACATCCTTATAAAATGAGAAATTTGTCTATGTAGTTAACTATTTTTCCAAACAACATGTCAAATAGAGTATAAGTGAATATATATTTAGCATCTTTGCGATCCCCAGTCTCTACATGAATCCATGATCTCTGTATAGTCTGTCACCAATTGCAGGAAGAACAGTAGCAACTCCCAATGAAATAAAACTCCCATCGCAACTTTGCTTCAGCATCCTGACAAAACTGACCTCTTTCCTATATGTAACTAACTTTTATTACTAGTAGCACACTTAATTAATATACATGTTTTAATTACCATAAGGACATTAACCATCAGGGCATTGCCAGAAACATAAACATAAATTACATAAAGGCCAAAAGATCAACACAAAGTCCTTTACATAGTAGGAAATATTATCTTCCTAAATAGCCCATAATAAATCAGGTAGAGGTGCCAAATTTTGCTCAGTATTCATCTGTAATACTAGTTTTCTGTTCCCAGAGAAAACAAGCTTGATGAAAGAGTTTTGGGGGATGACGGACAGTTTTGTGTCATTGAAAATTTGTGATCACAAAAAAGTCACATTCAAAACTAAAATATAGGCTGGGTATGGCAGCTCATGCCTGTAATCCTCGTGTTCTGGGAGGCTGTGATGGAAAGACTGCTTGAGGCCAGGAGTTCAGAACCAGCCTGGTTAACAAAGCAAGACCTCATCTCTACCAAATAAATAAATAAATAAATAAATAAATAAATAAATAAATAAAATAAAATAAAATAAAATAAATAAATAAAATAGCCAGGCATGGTGGCACGCATCTGTAGTCCCAGCTACTTAGGAGTCTGAGGTAAGAGGATCGCTTGAGCTCAGTTCAAGGATGCAGTGTGCTACGATGGCACCACTGCACTCCAGCTTGGGTGACACAGTGAGACTCTTTATCCAAAAAGTTAAAAATAAAAGAAGATATAGAATCTCCCAATTCATAAATACGTTGTATCCTAAAAGTCTGTTTAGGGTACAACATCCTAAACAAATCCATCTTCCCATAGAAACACTGTCCTAAATGGTGGTTAGGTTCCCAAGTAATCTACAAAAACCTCTTTAACCCATATGCACCTGGACATACTCAGTTTATGCAGGAATCAGAAGGGACATATTTAAGAAAATTTTGTCCTCTTTCTACAAGTACCAGTATTACGCAAAATTCTGAAAGCATAAAGTTGGTCTTTGACATATTTTCACTTTATTTCTGAAATCTTCTCAACTTCTTAGCATCTCTCTCTAGAATTTTCTCCTTCCAACAAGTACAGCACCTCACTTAATATTCCCTACTCTTTAAGGTTCAAAACTACTTTACCTCTACTCTTTGCCAAACAAAATTCTTTAAAGTCCCTCTTAGCTAATGATCAAGAGGTAAGCAATCTGATTCACACTAATATGTAAATAACTGAGTGTCCTTGGCCCTTCATGTGTTTTTAAAATTTTTGAAAGAAGATAAAGTAATCTCTTATCAACTATGGTTTTATAAATTGTGGACTTAAGATAATGAGGGTTCACGTTTGTAAACCAAGTATGATAAGTCCATTATCTTTTAATATGTGATTCTGTTCAGAAATTGACATGGCCAAGCAAAAGTAAAATATCTTTATCAGCCTTAAAATTAGGGAGCCTAGCAACTATACATAACAAAACTCGAGAAGTTTCTTCCAGATAAAGACCAGAATGGAAGAAATATAAAACTTTCCCAATACTTTCCTTTTCCAGATAGTGCATGCACAGAGGAGATTGCTTTCCTGGTACTTTTCACTTTGTAACTGTGACCCTAGACAAGTTACCTAATCTCTGTGCTTCAGTGTCCCCAACTATAAAGTGAACAGGGTAACAGAAACTATCCCATGGGTAGACTGTGAAGAAAGGAATACATCAGATAATACATATATTAGGGTTTAGAACAGTATCTGGCATGCAGTAAGTGCAATGAATGACTCTGGTACTACTACTACTAATACTATTGAGGACACTACAATTTATTGCACTTGGTAGAGGGAAATGTCTTGGCTATGGTCAATTAAAATTATACCATCAGTAGTCGAAATCTTTACAATACTTTGAGTTGAGATGCAGAATGAATGTCAAAATCCTTTATCCTACCCAAAGGTTCACTGGTTCGCTCTAAGCAAAGTAATTAAAGTAATTAAAGGTGGTTATTATGAAATTTCTGAACAGAATCACATACTAAAGATATTTTCATTATTTGTTTATATAAAATATATTTATTGAGCATCTACTATTATTACACTCTGTTCAGGGTACCGGAGATACTGCAGTGAACATAATAGATGAAGCTCTTGTCTCCTGGAGCTTTCTCCTCAAGTAGAGGAAGACAGAAAAAAAAACAACATATAAAAGATCACGGATGATAAGTGCCATGAATAATATAGTAGAGTAAGGATTTAGAAAAGGATTGATATATGGGAAGTACACTGTTCCTTTTGTCAGTCTGCTGGGGCTGCCATAACAAAATACCATAGAATAGGTGGCTTAAACAACAGAAATATATTTCTCCCGGTTCTGAAGGCTAGAGGTTCAACATCAGGGTGCCAGCACACTCTGGTTCTGGTGAGGGCTCTCTTCCTGGCTTACAGATAGCTGTCTTCTCCCTATGTCCTCACATGGCAGAGATCTCTAGAGGTTCTTCCTGTTCTTACAAAACACTAATCCCATCATGAAACTCTACTCTCATGACTTAGTCTAAACCTAATTAACTCCCAAAGGTCCCATCTCCAAATACCATCACACTGGGCATTGGGAGTCAGGGCTTCAACATATAAATTGGGCGGGGGGTGGGTGGGAAGAGGGCAATTCAGTCCATAGCCCCTTTTTATGGGATGGTCAGAGAAAATCTCTCTGAAAATATGATATGTGAGTAGAGATCTGAGGAAAATGAGAGAGCTAGAAAACAGCACATGCAAAATTCTGGAAGTGGCAGTGTGCTGGTTCAGTTCAGGGCCACTGAGAGCTGATATCCAGAGAAAGATGGAGATGGAGAATTGACCAATGTATTTGGCAACAATGGAGGTTAGTAGCAACCTTAACAAGAGTAATTTCTTGTAGAGTGCTGAGGATGAAAGCATGATTCAAGTGGGTTCTAAAGAGAATGGAAGGAGAGGAAATGTAACCTCTTTTGAGAAGTTTTATGCTGAATGAGAGCAGAAAAATATAGTTGAAAGCTTTTTTTGTTTGTTTAAGATGGGGGAAATTATAACATTTTTCTGTGCTGATAAAAATTAACCAATAATGTATGTCGGTGCTCTGGTAGCGTGTGAAAGTACTCTTCCGATTACTTCTTTTTTCTCAGTGCAACAAGATGAAGTGAATCTGGAGAATGAGTGAACTAGGAATGAAGCTGGAAAAGGGAAGAAGTGCAAAAAGTCTGAAGAGAGGAAAAGGTTTAAATAATCATTAAGTACCACGGGAGAATGGGTACACTAGGGAATGTTCTAGGATTGCTGGGCAGCGCCAAGGGTATTTGAGATTCTTAGTGAAGTAAGAAAGTAAGATTAGTCTGCTTATTTTTCTCCAGTTGTGTTCTGCTACTGAGGAATAGACATAATATAGCTATGAAATGGGCAAAGAGTGAGATCTAACCAGGATTGGGGTTTTACTAGGGCAGGCATTGGTGCAGTGTGAGTTTTCAAATTTTTACTGAAGAGGGTCTGTGGTCAAAAAAAATTTCGGAGACTAAGGATGAAAAAGCACTAAGTACTACTAATACTGATGATCTAGAAGATACTTGAAAATCTTCCTAACCTGTCCACGGAACAGTTGTAAAAAGCCACTACATATCAATGTCACCAAGAAAATTCTAATAAATTCCTTATGCTAATATATCTAACAATCTAACTACTATGCAACAAAACAACTAAAATACCTAATAAAGGAAGAAACATATAAAACACCCAGCCATTTGGAAAATATATATCTATATATTTTAAATATTATAAGTAAATTAGGCCAAAGGGCAATTCAAAAGGGAAATTACAGACTATGTATGAAAGGCTTAAATAAAAAAAAAAAAAAAAAAAAAAAATTTATGGGCTACACCAAAAGCAATATTAAGATGAAAGTTTACAACACTAATATTTCTATTGTTAAATAAAAATTTTCCTATTTTTAAAAAAAAGACTACATTTGATTTTAAAACATATTTGTAAAATTATTTCCCTAGGAGAGTACCTAGAAATGCAATTTCTGCATCAAATAACATATAATGGTTTTTAACATGTATTTGATAGATATTGCCACATGTATTTCCAGAAAGCTGTATCAATATATGCTTCCACTAATATGAGATTGTCTATTTCTCCACACCCAAGCAAACACTGGATAATTCTTGGTACAAATTAAACAAATTACATTTTCTAGCTTAAATAAAGTGTGGCTTCTTTTCTTCCTGGTTTTGATTTGGTTTCTGGGGTGGGGAGATTCAATATTATTAGAATTTATTACGAATGAATTGTAAATTTTCTTATAGATGTCTCATGCCTCAGAGATCCCACAATTCTTTGAATAACACACATTTGGCCTATAGTTGTATGTGAAAGTACCCAAGTCCCACACAAGTGGATGGAATGATTTATAATAACATGAGACATTAAAAGAATATTTAAAAATATCTGATGAGTTTGAGATGACTGATATCCCAAGGAAATAAAATCCAGGCCACCAAAATAACCCATCACCCTTTGGTTACACTGCATGTATAAGTGAGATCATGTAGTATTTTTCTTTCTGTGTCTGGCTTACTGCACTTAGCATAATATACTCTAGGTTCATTCATGTAGTCACAAATGGCACAATATCCACTTTTTTGAAGGCTGAGTAATATTTTATTATATATGTGTGTATATCTATTTCACAATTTCTTTATCCATTCACCTGCTGACAGGTCAGGTAGGCTGTTTCCACATCTTGGCTATCTTGGCTATTGTGAATTATGCTGCAATGAACATGGGAATGCAGGCATCTCTTTGAGGTATCAAGATCATTTCTTTTGGATATATACCCAGAAGCAGCATTGCTGGATCATCTGATAGTCTACTTTTAACTTTTTGAGGAACTTCCATGCTGTTTTCCGTAATGACTGTACCAAACTTCCTTTCCCACAAATAACGTACAAAGGTTCCTATTCCTCCACGCCCTAACACTTACCTCTTGTCTTTTTAATAAAGGCCATCCTAATAGGTGTGAGGTGATACATCTCACTGCAGCTTTGATTTGCATTTCCCTGATGATTAGTACTGTTAAGCATCTTTTCATATACTTGTTAGCCATTTTTATGTCTTCTTTGGAAAAATGTCTCGTCAGGTCCTTTGTTCCTTTTTTTAATTGGGTTGTTATTTTGCTATTGAGTTGTGTGAGTTCCTTATATATTTTGGGTATTAACTCCTTATCAGATGTATGATTTGCAAATATTTCTCCCAACCCACAGGTTTCCTTTTCATATTGTTGACTTTTTCCTTTGCCATGCAGAAGCTTTTTAGAGTGATATAGTCCAAATTGTTTATTTTTGTTTTTGCTTCATGAGCTTTTGGTGTGATATCCAAAAAATCTTACCAAGGCCAACGTCAAGGAGCTTTGCCCTATGTTTTCTCCTAGGAGTTTTACACTTTTATGTTTATCTTCAATCCATCTGAGTTAATTACGGTGAGAGATAAGGATTCAATTTCATTTTTTTTTCGCATGTGGATATTCACTTTTACCAACACCATTTATTGAAGAGACTATCCTTTCCCCATTGTGCATTCTTGACACCTTTGTCGAAGATTAGTTGACCACATGCGTGTAGGTTTATTTCTGGGCTTTCTGTTCCATTGGTCTCTGTGTCTGTTTTTATGGCAAATCTCATGTTAAAATGTGATTTCCAGTGTTGGAGGTGGGGCCTGGTAGGAGGTGATTGAATCATGGGGGCAGTAGGGTACTGTTTTGATTACTATAGCTTGGTAACATAATTGGAGATCAGGGTGTGATGCCTCCCACTTTGTTCTTTCTCAAGGTTGCTGATATGGTTTGGATATTCTTCCCCTCTAAATCATATGTTAAAATGTGATTCCCAGTGTTGGAAATGGGGCCTGGTTGGGGGTGATTGGATCATGGGGGCAAGCCCATCATGAATAGACAATGGAACTTTACACAGAGCTACTCTCTAGGAACAAAGGCTTCACTTCTTCATCCATTCATCTCTCTCTTTTTCTTCCCCTACCTCATTTCTTTGTCTCTCCCTCACTTGAATAACTTCTACAGTTACAGTAAAGGTATACGGTAGTATTCTTTGCAGATATTTGTGTATGTATTAAATTTTGGCAAAGTCTTATTTTAAATTACTTAAAAGAACAATGATTTAAAATAAATTTATTATTTTAATAAACAAGTTATTTATTAAAATAATTATTATACTTTTATGTAATACAAGTATTCTTGCAAAATGAAAACAATTACCCAGTGATTTTGGATTTTTCTAAAGTTTGTTTTCCTAAAGGTGGCCACTTTTGTAATTTAACCTCTATATTTGAGAGCAGCTCAACGAATCCATTAGTCATGACTGTCTTCTACTATTTGAGGTGAGAATAATGAGGAAATAAAAGTCCTTTCTTCAAGGTAGGACATGTAAAAGTAAGATATAATAAATATTTTTAAAAAATGAGATAAAATGCCCAAATTGTTAATACTTATTATTTATCTGAAAATTAAACACTCAAAAGTTTATTTCATGGCTATTAATTGTGAGAGTAAAAATTTTCGGAATTTCTATAGCAATGCAAAACACTGCCCTTTGTAACTGAATATTAAGTGCCATAGTGGTGACAGTAATAATCATATTAATCCCATGCTAAGGAATTAAGACTGCTCTCTAGAAAATGGAGAATCATGAAAAGGAGAAGCCTGGTAGGATCTGATCTGCCTTTTTGACTGATGCTATGAAAAGTTCCAAACGGATATGCTAATACAATAGATTATACTAATCACTAAATATTTATGGCTTAATCCAAAATTCTTTTTATTTATTTATTTATTTATTTATTTTTAGATGGAGTCTCCCTCTGTTGCCTACGCTGGAGTACAGTGACACGACCTCAGCTCACTGCAACCTCCGCCTTGTGGGTTCAAGCGTTAATCCAAAATTATTAATTCTAAATGAGGAACACAATGATATAGAAAAAAATCGAATTACATTAAACAGCTTGATTTGCACATTTTCTATAAAGTAGTGGCAACAATAAGAATTAAACTAAAGGCAGCTCCTCAGCATGGATGCACATAAAGAAATGGGGGAAATTATCTATACCAAACAAATAATGATCTGTTAATTCCACTAAATAAACTGAAACATTAAAAAGACAAAAATCTTGCCAGAGAATACACTTGTTTTCATATTTAGAAACACTAACTTGGTGAGATTAAACCAATAAAGATAAATAAAGGCCAAACTATGTAACAACCATCTGCCCACCTACTGTGGGGAATGTGGGTAAGGAGAAAGAATAGGGAAATATAATCCACAAAATATTCAAGGCAAAAATATTTTGGTTATTACAACAACCACAATTTGAGAACTATAAACATTAAATGTAAATTAGTGGCAAATCTTGTGGTGTTCTTAAATTCAATGATATTTTAAAATTCATCTTTGCCAAGGTGTTTTACAAACAAGCTAGAAGACTGATCTCTAAGAAAACCCTTGAAAAGTATTTTTTAAAAGAGAAGGATCTCATTTTAAAAAGAACAAACTGAAATTACTTGAGACAGAAAATATTGAGTGATTCTATAAAAAACTTAATTGAACAGTATAATCACCATGTGGCAGTCAAATATCCGTTTAGGCAAGACTAAAAACAGCAGCCCGGTAAGGCCTGCATCATGCATCACCAACAGTGGACACGAGTGTTCACAGTGTGCAGTGCTGATGTCTATCTTTACCCAAATAAATGACTCTGTTTTACTTCCCTTGATGTAGGAAAGGTGGAAATAAATAGCAATCATTATTCCAATGCTTTCCTACCAAATCCAGATAGAAAATATCATGTCCCCATAACAAAAGATACTTGTGAATATCAGATAATATATTCTGATCTGGATTAGGGAAAATAGGATTACTATGAGTATGGTTTCAATGCTGCCACCATGTATTTTGCTCCCCTGCAGACTAAAGAAAGGAATAGGGGGAAGAAAACTTTTAAATTTCATCCAAAAACTAACAGTAAAGAATCTAAATAGGTCCAAGGGTGGGGGACAAATGGGAATGGTACTAATATTGTTTTTAAAAAGATGGCAGTCATTTGATTAATCCTGCTATAAAATTTCTCTACAGCAAAGCAACAACTGTAAGAGATTATATATCCAGAAATGTTAGAGAATGATTAAAAAACAGTGCCAGGCTTGGTGCCTCACACCTATAATCCCAGCATTTTGGGAGGCTAAGATGGGAGGATTGCTTGAGCCCAGGAGTTTGAGACCAGCCTGGACAACATAGTAAGACCCTGTCTCTACAAAAATATGAAAATTTGGTGGGTGTGGTGGCACGTTCCTGTAGTCTCAACTACTTGGGAGGCTCAGGCTAGAGGATCGATCAAGCCTGGGAGGTTGAGGCTGCAGTGAGCTGTGATTGGGCCATGGCATTTCAGCCTGGGGAACAGAAGGAGACTCTGTCTTTAAAACAAAACAAAACAAAAACAGAATAAAACAAACACAACCACTCTAGTTTCACACCTGTATGTGAGGTGCTCTAATCATCAAAGCAGAAGTCAGACTCCACCCTCAGCTGAAGCTCATATTTCACAAGGTTAAGAAAAGCATAAAAAGATCCCTTGAGAGCCATCTTCAAATTGGATATAGTAAGCTACAGAAAAATAGGGATCTAGGTAAGAGTTAGGTTAGAGTTCCATTTTTATAGATCTGTAACTTGCTTTTTATTTCATTAACTGAAAAATGCCTTCTCCAGAAGGCACTTTCCCCAATTTTAGACAAGCACTTATGACAACAAATACACAATTCTTTACCATTATATCATAAAAGTACAGCTATAGCTATGGGTAAAATGTAATTTGATAGTATAAAAAGTCACAGACGGAAATCACTTTCAGAGCTACATATTACATCTATTTTGGGTTCTTCTAAATCAAATAATACTACCTCGTCTACAGTTCCTATGCCAGAATAACATATACTGAATGACATTAATCCTGCACTGTGCAGCTAGATTTACCACAGGTATCTTGTTGGTATTTCTACTAATACTCCCTTCAGAATAATTTCATAAGTATTTTGAAATTGTTTGAACAAAAATTAACCTTTAATAAACATAACAATGAGTTATCCTAATGAAACTCTTCCAGGAACTAACCTTGACGTATTACATTGTTTCATGTTTTTCAATGCACCCTAGCCCTTTTCAAGTTTATTTTGCAAACCACACTGAAGCTAATTCAATGACCCTGCCTAAATGTCTTAAAGAAGTAATGTGCCCTATGTCAGAATAAACTAAATTTCAAATTATGTAGCAAGTAGAAAATATATGGCTCAAAAACAAAACCAATAATCCATTAAGAAGGTTCAAAATTAAAAACAAATATAGTAATAATTAGAATAGTAACCCATTTATTGAGGCTGTATTCACCTTTACTAGATACTTACTTTTGATTGGTCAGTTATTACTCTAGGACTGTGAGGGCAAAGGCCATATTTTATCTTTTTTTAATAGTCACAGCCTCAGGACCTAGAACAGTGATTGACTTAAAAAATCTCAATAAATAAATGTTTAATAAATAAAGGAGTGAAAGCATGGATGGACGATTTGCTTGACTCCAAAGAAAAAGATTTGCATTCATTTTTACCACGTTGTGTCTTAGAGAAAACTTCCTAGAGAGTTGAACAGAGCGCCAAGATTCTAAGACATCATTCTACTAATTCACACTGCCGTAATGTTAAAGACCTTTACACTGAAGGACCTTTGTGGCTATCTTTTCACACCCATTACTTCTTCCTAAAGTTCCAGAGATCCAGGGTTTTGCTGAAGTCTGACTGTACACTCAACTTCAGGGATGAAGCATACAGCTTAGGGTAAGCCAGACAGGACATTTCATCCTACTAGCTACTGCCACTGGCAGGGACTGGGGAGATGTTGTGACCCAAGCCTTTTTAAGAGTAAATCTTGGGACAAAGGCATTCTCTCTCCACCTGGACCTAAAACTTCTATAGTCATTTGTGCTCCTATGTGAGAAATAAATATTCAATATGACCTGAAGATTAGGCCAACAAAAACATAAAAGGGCAGGAAAAGCAGAATAGGGAATTGGAGCTAGAAATCCAATGTACATTGTGAACTTCAATATCAAACCTTGCTTGAAGCCAAATCTACCTCTGGGCTTTGTTATCTGAAACAAAACCTTTCCCTAGCTGCTTAATTTTGTTTGAATTGGTTTTTTTTTTTTAATTAACTGCAATCAATAGCATCATGCAAAAATATTAACTGTTTTCAACTTTTACATCATTATTACTGCTCTGAAGATGGTCTGTATGACACTATGTAGGGTTATAGTCCCCTACTCTTCAATTATATGATGTAATATTATACCTATACATCTTCAAATTGGAACAGCAGCTTTCTGAAATATTTGAGAATCTAAACTCAAACTATAGCTGAATAAAACATTTAAAGGACTAAAAATAAACACCAATATTAATATCTATTGATATTTATTTATTGAGAGCATCTAATAGATGTTACTGCATTTATACAAAAATACCCATGAAACTAGAATCTTCCTGATATAATCATGTCTCAAATAAAATGCAAAATAAACTTTATTACTTTCAGTATGACAATTCACAGACAACTTTTTCTTCCCTAAAGATCTATTTTATTCCCTACCTCTTTAAACTGTCTTGCATCTAGAAACAAGGGACAATTAAAAGGAAAAACATGCATAAGAAACAACTGCTTACTTAGCAAATCACAACTAAACCACCATACTTTCTTATGTCTAAAATTTAACTGACACTTTACGAGTTTCTAACTGCTAGTATTTCAATCTGGCAACAAGCGCCTTCTCTAGATGAGAAAAAATCAATGGTACATCTTTTTGCACAACATGCATTTACTTGTATTTACATGCATATTATATGTGTATATTGCTTCATACATTCATCTGTTCAGTCTTAACTGCAAGCATCTAAAGAGCCTATTTAATTTGCTTCATAAAGCATATCCTTCAGCACCACTTACAAAGTAAATACTTCTGATGGGAAAAATAAAATAAAATGAAAAGAGAAATTGCAGAACAAAGGAAATCAAATGAGGATTAAGAGAAACATAACAGAGATGGTAAATATGTAAATTCAAAACAGCATAAATTTATAAATTCAATAAACTTGTAAATCTCATCCTCCACTGTCAGCCACTATTAGCATGTTGGTATATTTCTCCTTGCAGCCTTAATTTCAATGTGTTTGCGAAACATGAATATTCCCTTATCATCAGGTAAACAGGGTTCTCAGCCCATTTCCAATACTATGAAAAACATTGTGATGAATAGTTTTGTGCATATGAATGTGCACATGAACAAAATTCCTGATATCTAAAGAGAAATTACCAAATGTAGGTCTACTAGGCTGCAGTATATTAATGCTTCTAATGCTTCTAACTGAATTGATATTTTAAAATACTTTCTCGGTTTTACTAATCTACATTTCCACAGTTAATGTGTTACCACTCCCATCTTACTTTTGACCATTTTATATACAAAAATGGCATTATTTCAATACCAGTAAGTAGATACTTTATATATTTATTTTTATTTCTTCTTGTTTTTCATATCCTTTGCCAATTTTCCTACTAGAATGTTCTTACTGATTTTAAAAGAGCTATATAAATGATACTGATAGTTTTGTCATATTTTTATTCATTTGCCTTTTAATAATTTTTGTGTTTTTGAAACAGACATAATTTTTATAAGATCAAATTTAAAAGTCACTTCCTTTGTGATTTTTTCACCCCCAAACTGGGCTCTGAGTGACCTTTCAGAATATTTTAATAGAGTCTATTTCCTCTCTTGAAAAATTCACAAAATTTAGCATACAAAACCCTCTGAAAATTCCTAAAAGAAACTTCTTAAAAGTTTGAACTTAGCATTTCACAAACTTATTTGAAAACAGACCACTCCCTACTCCCACAGTGTATTTGACAACATCTTGAGGAACAGCATTTCTCAAAAGCTTTGAAACAAAAGCCTAGAAAGTCCTTCCATATTACCTGTGGTTATTTGTATTTTTTAAAAATGGTTTTACTTTTTATACCAATTTTTTAATATTCTGGAATGTATTTTGATGCATGTGTAAGGTTAAGAGTTATCATTATGTTTTCTTTTTCAGTAGTTCTATAATTGTCTTGGCATCTTTCTCCCACTGATTTCTAATACCATCTTTATTGTGACTAATTCTTCTTTATATTTAATTGTATCATTTATTCTCTTCACAGGAGTGCCTGTGGGTTTTACACTAGTACCACACTATTTTGACTGTCGTAGTTTCATGGAATCTTATATTATTTGGTGGTATTAGGTTGGTGCAAAAGTAATTGTGGTTTTGCC
The DNA here is from genome assembly GCF_000001405.40 of Homo sapiens. Classification (NCBI taxonomy): domain Eukaryota; kingdom Metazoa; phylum Chordata; class Mammalia; order Primates; family Hominidae; genus Homo; species Homo sapiens. Next base: position 44,997,098 of record NC_000006.12, read on the forward strand.
ATTAAATTAAACTCAATCTCCTACTCTTCTTTAATGAAAATTTCTTGGCTATCCTAATTTTTTATAACTTCAGATGAAGTCTAATATCATTTTATAAAGTTTTTTTTAAATCCTGCTGAGATTTCTGTTTAAACAACATTAAGCCAATACATTAATGTGGAAACAACTGAGCTATTTACAACATTTAGTCTATATCCAGGAACATAGTGCTTTTTCATTTATACACTCATGTCTCAGTACATTATTAAAAATGAGTTACATATTTCTTTTACATTTTTTGTTAATATAAAGTTCATCTCCAAATAATTTTTTTCTTGTATTATTCTGATTGACACTGTCTTTTTTCTCAATTCTACTATTGAATATTACTGAATTTATTATTGAGTATTACTGAATTATGGAAGAAGCTCCTAATTTTGGTCAGTGTCTATCTGACTTAATGAAGACTTTTACTGGCTTCAGTACTTTTTACATTGATGCTCAAGGATTACCAAAATTAATAAATTATGTTATCTGTACATAATGATAAATTTTTGTCTCCTGCCAATAGCAATGCCTTTTATTGCACTGCCTAGTGCTCCTTGAACTCTCGCAAATAAAAGTGGTAACAGTGGGCATTCCAGAATTTGACAGAACTCTTAATATTTTTAAAACTATCATGATGTCTGTTCATTTAAGTGAGATATTTTTTATCATGAAGTAGAAGGACTTTTCTATATCTAGTTTATTAAGATTTTCTAAAAAGTCTAGGAAGTGAATTTTGTCATATCTCTTTTTATTACCAATTAAAACTATCATATGGTTATTCTTATTTGACCTAGCTATTTGATATATGATAGTAATATATTTTCTAATATTGAAGCATACTCGAACTCAAGGAAAAAATCCTACTCAGTTGTGATACATTTTTCATTATATATACTTTCAAATTAAAATTGCTAATACTTTAAGATTTATGCATCTATATTCCTAAGGAAGGTATTATGATAATTTTCATTCATTTGAGCTCTGTCTGAAGTTATGCTTGCTTTTTAAAATTTAATGACAAGTTCTCCTTTTTTTTTCTTTTCTATGCTCTGAGATAGCTTGGATAGCATGATAATTAACTATTTCATGAATTAAAGAGCTCTTCCATAAACTGGGTTAGATTCAGAGACTTCTGAGCATACAACTGTTTAAAAAAATTTGTCATTTCTTTGAGTTACTGATTTATCCAGGTTTAGTACTTCCTGATGAGTAAAAATTACACATTTATATTTTCTTAGAAAAACACTCATTCATCAAGATTTATAAATAAATTGGTTACTAAATTATCGAGCATCTATGGCTATATCATTATTCACTGCTAATTTTTAGTATTGATTGGTGCAAAAGTAATTGCGGTTTTTGCCTTTTTAAATGGCAAAATGATAAATTGTGGTCTTCTGTCAATAGCTATACCTTTTATTGAGAGCTCCTTGAACTCTGGCAAATAAAAGTGGTAACAGTGGGCATTCTAGAATTAAATTTTTTAGTGGCAAAAACTGCAATTACTTTTGCACCAACCTAATACTTATTTTTTATTTTTCTTATTTAGAGGTGACACAGATTCATTCTACCACTTTGTTCTTATATTTGCAAAGAATTTCTTAAGTTGATAAATTTAATTATATGTCTTCTTTTTATTTCTGCTTATCTTTGTATTTTCATTTTTCCTGTCTTCTCTATTTTATTGTAAAATTTCTATGCTTTAGTTGAATGTTTGGTTTATTTTCATTATTTCCAATTTAATAATGAAAGACTTAAAAGCAAAAAAGTTGCTTCTCTTTTTAACAAAGCTTTGTCTACACTTGTTTAATTTTATATGGACTTTTCTCGTTGTTACTATCTAAACAGTCTGTGACAGTACAGTTAAATTTATTTTTGGTTCATTAGTTGCCTCTGTGATTTTTTTTCCCTTTTTAATTTTCAATCAGTCAAGGTTTTGTTTGTTAGTTTAACTTCCGTTATTACTTTCTAGGTTTTCTTTCCATTCTGGTAAAGTAATATGCCCTATAAATTTTTGCATTTTTGGAGTTTGTTGACTGTATGTGTGTGAGAGAAAGCGACAGTAAGAAAGAGAGTGAGAGTGAAGGTGGGTGTGAGAGACAGAGAAAGATTTTGTTTGATTCTTCATGGATGGTTGAATAGTGTTTCGGTTTTTCGTTTTTAACAGACAAGGTCTTGCTATGTTGCCCAGGTTGGACTTGAACTCCTAGGCTCAAATGACTCAGTCTCCTGAATAGCTGGGACTACAGGCGTACACCACCACGTGCACCTGAAGGGTGGTGTTTTGTAACGATTTTCGATTTTAAAAAACAGTGAATCACTTTCTTCACTGATGATATGTACAGCCATTACATATAATTGAACATGTGCTGGTTGAAGGTGTGAGGGCAGATGGAGGCTACAGCCCCACCAAACCTCTTCTCTCTTCCCTGAAGAGACCCATGGAATCCTTGGAGTTGTACGATTTTAAGACTATTGCTCATTTATAAAACATTATATATGCATCTATTAGATAAACTTAGATATTTATTAAAGTCTTTTTTTTCCCTTGAATTAATCAGTCAAAGATGGGGATGGTGTGTTCTAGTCTCCACAACAAATGTTTTTCTCTGACCTCTCTCCACATACTAGAAGCTTTCAATGCTCTGGAATTTGATGATTAACAGTTTGCACCTACTATATTTTCACTATAGGTGTATCTTTTAGTAACATAAAATTATTGCCTTTATTCCATTTTAAAGCTTCTCTCCTTAAATTCTCTTTTCTCTGAAATTAATACTGTAACCCCCAGTATTACAGGGTTTGTATGATATACCTCTGATTGTTCTTTAACTTTTACCTTTTAAATAATCTAGAAAAATTACATTTCTATTTCTATATATGTATATATGGGCATAGTGTATACATGTATGTACATGAATTTGCATATGTAAATGTATATACACATATAAATGTATATACACAGATATATACATACATGTATTTATTATGTACATATGTAAACTACATATATCTTTGTAGTATATAATTCTATCTTTATTTCACAGTCCCATATATTATAACATATTTAAGAGTTTCAGTTTTTAACTCAACTTTTTAAACTTTTCTGGTATTTGTGAATGTTTATCTTACTGGGATTAGCCTTTTTCTTTTATGTTAAGTATTATGTAAGATATTTTTGGACTGTTAGCTTTACAGACATTTTATTTTCCTTTTCCTTATAACTGAAATAAATCATGATAGGTAGAAATGGGAATGGTAGAAAGACTTCAAAAACAGGAGATGGACAACTTCTACAGGCATCCACCTATTTCTTCTTCAATGAGTTTTCTAGTCCACTTACCTCCAAAAACCATAACCCTGGGACTCAAAATCTCCAGGCATCATAACCATGCCACACTTGGGCACAACTGAATGATATATCTGATTTCTCTTATTATTCAGTCTTTATGAGAAACTATATGTTTTCAAATCTATGGTCAGTTCATTTCAGGTTAAGCAAATTCAGATGACTACCTGGCACCTTATTTAATTTAAAGCTTATTATCAACAAATTTTAAGCTGCCTTAAATGTTATGTATATCACTCTGCTTTCTCTCTAGATTCCACTATTAAGCCTCTGATATGAAAACACAAGATAAAAAGTCACTAGGGATTTTCTGCACCCCAAACTGTTTAAAAGCTGCTCTCTCTGGTAAGCTCTAATCCTTGCTCTCTTGTTTACTTTTATCAATTTGAGGATTACTCTGAAGGTAGAGTTCTCTCAACTTTTTAAGCACCCATTGTTTACATCTCTTTACAAACTTAGGGGCTTACAAGACTAGATAGTTTACTTGATTATTGACAAACTTGAGCTTCTCAGGTTCCTCTACAAGCAGCAAAGCAGGTTCTTAGGCACAGCTCTTCTGTGGGTGACCACAGTTCCTCACTGACAAGAAAACTCAAAGCTATTTGAAGCTTTCAGTGACTGTATTTTGGTCTTTGGTTGACAATATTTGATTAGATGAAAAAATTAGAATGAAAGAAACATTAGCTACACTTAGACACACCTGCCTTATTTTAGGATGGAGGTGGGTGGGGTTGGAGGGAAGCTATAGTTGTATGTATTTCCCTGCTCTTCTTTCTCAGTCCCTCAAATACACTAAAGCAACTCTGAGCATTATTTAATCTTTATTTGATCATTTAAAAGGATGTTCTGAGATCATGGATCTCTACTATAGGTATGCCCAAGTGCTAGAATCTGGTGCTAGAGAAAAATAAATGTGTAAGAGTTAGCTAACTATCACGATGATGAACTAGTAAGGCAAAATGGATGTAAAAATTCAGATTTTTTTATATTTCAAGTCACATAAACTAATAGTAATGAAGTAAATTATGGATGAAACTAAAGCCAAGCACACATACATCAGCTGAAAACAATAGGAAAGAACTCAGGCTGTTTTTTGTATGTTTGCTCAATGTTTTGAGAAGAAGCTAGAATACCAAGTGAGTTTTTATATCTATAAAGAAGAAAGAAAACTAAAATTAAGCCTGTTGGTAGGTCTATACCATTTTCATACATGCTAGGGGAGAAGGTAGTAAACAAAGTTTCTGCAACCATAAGTGATGCTTGGAGGAAAGTTAAGTCATTGAATGATGCCAGGACTGATTATTCTACTGAACTTTAAAAGCAAGAGATTGCAGTCTCTGAGTCCAAAGTGGTTTCATATGAACTGCCACAGTTGTGGTTAACTCTTGAAACTATAACCTATCAAATTAGAAGCAGGCAAGGCCTATGCTCTTAACAGTTCCACTTTCTACTGTCTACAGTTAAGTTATGTCTACAAGCCCAGCATATTTTTTTCAGTTAAACTGTTATTTGGATGAGTAGAATATAAAAGCTACTCTGTTATGTTGGCCAGAGAAGATTTTTGTTATGATACAAAGCTTAACGAAGTTGCCAGTCTCATGTTTATTTGTACATATGAAGATTTTCACTGTAACTAGTTTTATCAACTTCTGATATTTTATTATCCTGGTTACCAGTATGTAATACATAACTATAAAGAAGAAGTGTACAGACTGCATAAGTACCCAAGCTTTTTCTACCCTGCATCTCCAGATATTTTATTGACTTTAGTACCCTGCTGACCCCCAGTTTTCTAGGTCTACAGTAGCCTGCTATTATAGAGCTACAAAATGTTCCATTTCTTCTCTTCTTGATTGTGGAATGCCCTTTTAGGTAACAGGTTTGGCTAGCCAAGATCTTCCCATCAAAATTGAAAAGTTACCTGTTCAATTTTACTAATGCTTTATGTATTATGCTTTATTCCTTAATGAACCTTTCTCAGTGGCCATTTTTATAATATAAAAATATTTAAAAAATAAAGCATAAACAATATTTGCTCTTTGTGTAATGCATCATAAGTGAAACCATGCCACTAAACAACCATATCCTGTTTGGGCAATGATGACATCAGAAATACATGTTTATCATCTGCTTTGGACAACTTAGCATGTTTTTGGCCCAAGGCAAAGTTGAACTAAAATTATTTGCAGTTGTACCAAACCAAGATAACCACACATTTCTAAAGTAATTGATACCTAAAAGAACACTGCCTTTAGATCACAGTTCATGATCCAAGCCTGCTAATTCTTTAAAGGTTGTTGAAGTTTATAAAGCATGTATGTCTACTGGACCTCCTCCAAAGTTTAACATAAAATAATTATATCTTCAGCATGCATAGAAACTATAAAAAAGTTGGCACTTAGCACATCTTTTGCAATTCTGAAATTACCTCCATTGCCCAACTGAAAGAGAAGGGGAAAATGGAGATTCCTTATATGTGAAAGTATGATAATAGCAATATGAACTGTGAAAATACTGTCTTGTAATTTGGAAGGCACTCAAATGCAATAAATCATTTTACTTTAAATTTTTCCTTTAGTGTTTAAAGAAATAATAATTTTATGTATAGATAGCTAAGGTAAAAAGAAGACATATAATTTTCAAATGCATTGTTAAGACATATCCAGGGAATCCAAATACATGTCACTAATTTTGTCTTGCAGTGATATAAAGCATGTAACTGCCCTGGGTACTACCCTAGCTAGTAAGTCCAATCAGAGCCTGCAACTATAGCCAGAAGAATAGCTCTTCACACTATATATGCCAACATAAAAGCAGTAAGAATTAGTTTTGTTTACAAATAAAACTGGATGATTTGAAACAAGAAAGGTAAATATTTAATTAGAAATTAGCTTCATAAAATAAAATCAGTAAATGTCAGATCCAGAGTAGGGAAACCTAATCATTTTCAAAACGGGAAATAAGGAAACAGAAAACAGAAGTTGTTTCCCAAAGTTGATGCTGAAGGCAGATCTGACTCCCACTTCAGGGGCTGATCCTCTGCACATCGCTGCCATCAGACATAAAACCACTGACTTAGAGATTTCAGACAACATTTAAAGAACATGAGAATAGGACCAAACAGCATAGGCACTGCAATGATTGTTCTATTTCTGTAAAAAGGGAAGAATGTACTATACCTCCATTCTTTCTTGTTTAACTTCATCAATTTCGTCATCTTCAAACATTGCTAAAAGTTCTCCTGTCTGGTCAATAGAGTTGAGGAAGTCCTGAGCAATCTTTTGTCTTTTGTTCGCATTATTGCTGCCACTCAATTTGTCTTCATGAAGTCAAGGGAAAGAAAAAAAGAAATGTTCTCAATAGGTTTACATCAGCACTAATTATTACATGTATTAAATATAGTATACCAAATTCAGAATTGGGATTCTCTGAAAATAATCTTTTAAAAAATTCTTGCATTCAAAATAAAAGTATAAGTCATACAGAATTAAATAATTTTTCATGTCACAAATTAGAATGAAAGAATAGAACCAAATGATCAATTATCAAAGTAAGTGTGAAAGGGCTAATTAAATCCCTTATAAAAAGGAGAGAGTGGTGTGCTCAGATTTGGAAAAAGAATACTGTTATATAGTATTTATAACAAACACCTCTGAAATGAAATGACAATACAAAAAATGATGAGTAAGGATATGCTAGGCAAATACAAGCTAAGAAAGCAGAACTGGTAACATTAACGTTAGAAAATACAGCTCAAGACCAAAAACACTAAAGGAGACAGGGTGAAATACTATCTAGTAATAAAAGGAATTTTAAACGGCCATAAACTTTTATGTAACAAAATAATAGCAAAATGAATAACACAAAGGAAATCTTAAAAAGCACAATTATTGTGAGATATCTGAATATATATATTTTTAAATTTGACAACTTAAGGTTACAGAAGATTTAAAAAATATATATCTCTAAGCACATTAACAACTATATACATATAAGAATCTATATTATCATCTTAGGTCCATAGATCTTTTTCTTCATTTTTATCATTTCTTTTAAATTTTTAAATCAAAAAGTTTTATAAACATCTATAAATTAAAATATATTAAAATATCACATATCATTTTTGCTTGATTACTCTTTCCCATTTCCTTCCCTTTTACATGATCAGCCAAATTCCAACTCAAAATCTTGTAACTCATATTAACACCACCCAATATGTATTCTCCATGCTCATATATCCATAAAAATACATTCATTTATAGAGCTGTTTTATTCATTTATATTTTCTAGAAAAGGGTTCTTATGATATTCCTTCTATTTCTTTCTGGTCTTGCACTTCATGTTTCTTCGTCAATTAGGAAGAAAAATCCCTCCAAGTCAACTGGTACAGCCCTGATTCCTTCTTAACGGCTGTGTAATATTTTACAGTATGTATGTACCACAGCTTTCCAGCCAATCCCCTATTGATGGGCATAAACTTTGTTTCAGGTTTTTGCTACCCAGGGGAAATGCAGTAATGAACATCCCATCCATATGGCATTCTGTATGGTTGGCTTAATGTTTATGGCATAGATTCACAAGGATGGAACTACTGAGTTAAAAGGTACAAACATTTTAATGGAAGTTAAGAGATTGTTTACCAGTGCATTAACCTTCAAGTTTCCAAGACTAATGAGGAATGCCTTGTCTCTCCATGAGAAAAGCCTAATAAATGTAAAGTGATACATCATTGTGATTAAAATATTTAATTTCCCTAATGAATCTAAACATGTTTTCCCATATGTTTGTTAGCTATCTGAATAAGCCTTTCTGTTAATTGTCTAGTTTTATCCTTTGCCCATTTTCAACTGGGTTGCCTTTTTCTTAACAATTCAAAGGGCTCTTTTATATTACCCCTTTGTTATCTAAGTTAAAAATGTTTATCCTAGTCTTTCATTTGCCTATGAATTTTAAAGCATCTTTTGCCACTAAAAAATTTAAAATTTGCCAGGCGTGGTGGCTCACGCCTGTAATCCCAGCACTTTGGGAGGCTGAGGCGGGCGGATCACCTGAGGTCAGGAGTTTGAGACCAGCCTGACCAACATGGAGAGACCCTGTGTCTACTATAATCACAGCTACTCGGGAGGCTGAGGCAGGAGAATCGCTTGAACCCGGGATACAGAGGTTGTGGTGAGCCGAGATTGCTCCATTGCACTCCAGCCTGGGCAACAAGTGCAAAACTCGTCTCAAAAAAAAAAAAAAAAATTTAATTTCTATATTGTCAAATAAGTTCATTTTTTCTTTTATAACTTTTGTTTGAGATGACTTCTCTCCACTCACACAGATGGAATGGATCCTATCAGATATCTATTCTTATTTAAATTTGTAAAGGTTTACTTTGTGGCCAATTTTACAATTAAGTTTTGTAAATGTTCTGTAGATATATTGAAAAAATTCATAGACCCTCTATTCCAGATAAATACAGGTCGAAGCATATCTTGCTATTTTGCTGATTTACTATTTAGTGCTTATGGGTCTATTATGTTAAAAATTGTGTCTTCTATAATTATTCCTCTTTATCCTGTTTTATTATTATTATTATTACCCTTTATCCTTCTATAAAATATTCCTCTTTGTTCTGTTTGGGCTTTTAATGTTAAATTATAGCTTGCATGATGCTAATATTGCCACTTCCGCTTTCTTTGCATTTGTGTATGCATTTATTTACCATTTATTTGTTCATCGCATTATTTATAACCTTTCTTTATGTTCAAGTTTTATTTTTGTGGTTGTTTATAATGTCTCAATGTAAGAATTTAATCCATTTCATAATTAGTGCAATGACCGATATATTTCATTTTTATTATTTTCTCTTGCTTTATATTTGGTATTTATTTCATATTCTTGTTTTTTCCTTTTCCTTTCTTCATTTTTAATGGTTTGGCCATGTTGATAGTCCTTCCATTTCTTCTCATTGTTAATTTGAAATTGTAATATACTTTTCTATTCTGTTAACGTTTACCACCCCTTTTTCCATTTTCTTTAATGTTTACCTCGCTCTTTTCTGGTTGGACACATTGCTTGAACATATTTTAGACAACAGTTTCCATTATTATTTAAAGTAAGATATCAATTATACTCCTACCAAGAGGTAACATTTTCCCAATCAAGTAACTTTTTCTTCTAACGTTTCACCCTTTCCAGTATCAAGAGACCTTCAGAACACTTTCATTTTCCCTATCTCAGCTTCCTATCAATAGACCTTTGAAAAATTTTTACTTCACCCCTTCTCCATCTCTAAACTTTTGGCTTTCCGATGAAAAGGGGTATTATTTTTACAGTATTAACAGAATTTCACCAGTATTTTAAGAAATTTAGCGCTTATATTGCATGTTCTCACATATTGTATCATTAGAGATAAATACTGAGTCCAAACAAGATTAACTACTCAACATACTTCTTTCCTATTCTTCCTTTTTCTAACTTTGAAGTTTATCACTGGGATCTATGGATGATTTACTTTCTGCATTTGCATTTACTTTCTGCACTTGATATTTGCATATTGTCGAATATGTTTCTTTAGCACTATAGACAGATATCTTATCTTGGTTGGGTATAAAGTCCTTGGATTGCAGTCCCTTCCTCTCATGAATCGATAAATATGATTCTAGTGCCTTCTAGCTTCCGGTGTTATACATGAGAAGTCCAATTATAATGTGATTCATTTAATAATTCCTTTTTTGGAGGTAGAGGAGGCTGAGCTTTTGTAAGATTTTCTCATTATGTTTAGAGATCAAGAATTTTACTAAGACATTCCAGGTGTTTATCTACTCAACTTTTTTTACTCTGCAGTCTTGGATTATTCTTAGCTCTATAATTTATTAATAATTGCCTCTCCTCCATCTCCTACTTTTACTTTCTGAAATGCCTATCATATGCATCTTAACTCCTCCGAATTTATCCTCTATATCTCTTACCTTTTTCCCTCATAATTTTCATATCTTTACATTTTTCTATGTGCTTTGAGATAACTATTGCATTTTATTCTCCCTAATTAGGTCTGAAGAGTGACTTTTTGACAAAAAATCATTTAGTTGTGAATTACTGTGTGTTAACTCTAGAAAATCTCTTTTGTGCTACATTTGAGTCCCACTATTGTTCTCCTTACTTTTTAAAATTTAAGTTGTCATCTAATCCCAACTATTTTGCTGGCAGATATTACGTTCTGTCTTAGCTTCCTCTATGTTGGTGCATTACTCCCCTCACCCTAAGTATTCCCCCCCACTTTTTTTTTTTTTTGCTGCTTGATGGGATTCAGTTGTAATGTAATCAATGGTAAGGGTTTGAGTGGAGGATTTTAATGGGATTTTAAATGATTCCCTATCTCAATCTTCCCCTCCACCAACTCTAGGCAACCACTACTCTACACTCCATCTCTTTAGATTTGCCTATTCCAGACATTTCATATAAATAGAATAAAATATCTGGTCTTTGTGATTGGTTTCTTTCATTTAGCTTAATATTTTCAAGGTTCATCCATGTTTTAGCATATATCAGTATTTAATTCCTTTTTATAGCCAAATAATATTCCTTTATATGAATATTCCATACTTATTTATCCATTCATCCACTGATAGACATTTGGGCTATTTCCTTTTTTATTATCATGAATGCTGCTGCTAACACTCATGTACAAATTTTTATGTGAATACATATTTTCATTTATCTTATTCCACTTCTTTTGCTAGGAATGGAATTTCTGGTTCAGTTGGTAAATCTATGTTTACCCTTTTGAGGAACTTCCAAAATGCTTTCTGAATTGTCTGCACCATTTTATACTCTAACAACTTAAGAAGGTTCTAGCTCTCCATGTCCTCAACAGCACTTGTTATTATCATTTTGTGTGTTTGTTTGTTTTTAATAGATAGGGTCTCGCTCTGTTGCCAGGCTGGAATGAAGTGGTGCAGTCACAGCATACTGCAGCCTCTAACTCCTGGGCTCAAGTAATCTTCCCACCTCAGCCTCCTGAGTAGCTGGGTCCACAGGCACATGCCACTGAGACTGGCTAATTAATTTTTTTTTTCTAGAGATGGGGTCTTGCTTTGTTGCCCAGGCTGGTTTCAAAATCCTGGCTTAAAGTGATCCTCCTGCCTCAGCCTCCCAAAATGCTGGGATTATAGATATGAGCCACCATACTCGGCCTTGTTTTTATCTTTTTGATCACAGTCATCCTAGTGGGTGTGGAGTATTATATCAATGTGGTTTTGATTTGCATTTCTCTGATGGCTAATGACTTTTTTTTTTTTGAGATGGAATCTCCCTCTATTGCCCAGGCTGGTGTGCAATGGCACAATCACGGCTCACTGCAACCTCTGCCTCCTGTTTCAGGGTATTCTATTGCCTCAGCCTCCCAGGTAACTGGGATTACAGGCACACACCACTATACCCAGCTCATTTTTTGTATTTTTAGTAGAGATGGGGTTTTACTATGTTGGCCAGGCTGGTCTTGAACTCCTGACCTCAAGTGATCCACCCGCTTCAGCCTCCTCAAGTGCTGGGATTATTTATAGGCATGATTTTTAAGTATCTTTTTCAGTGTCTATTGTCCATTAGTTAATCTTCTTTGTAGAAATCTCTATTCAGACCCTTTGCCCATTTTTAAATTGGGCCACTGTCTTTTTATTGTTAAGTTGCATGCATTCTTGATATATTCTATACAAAAGTACCCTATCAGATATATAAGAAAAATTTTCTTCCATTCTGTGGTTTGTCTTTTCACTTTCTTGATGTTGCTCTTTGAAACATAAAACTTTTAAAATTGATCAGTTAATTTATTAGTCATTGTTTTGACTTTGAAATAATTGATCAAGTCCAATTTTCCCTTTTTCTTTTGCTGTTTGTGCTTTTGGTGTCATACATTCAGAATGCTTTGCCTCCTCCAAAGTCATCAACATTTATTACTGTATTTCTTTTTAAGAATTTTATAGTTTGAGCCCTTGTATTTAGGTCTATGATCCATATTGGGTTAACTTTGTGTACTGTGTTGTTGTAGGTGCCCAAATTCTTTCTCTTGGACGTGGATATCCAGTTGCTCCAGCAATATTTGTCAAAATGGCTATTTTTTCCCTATCAAATTCTCTTGAAATCCTTGTCAATATCAACTGATCCTAAATGCTCATTACTGAACTCTCATTCCATTCCATTTCATTGACAAATATGTCTACACTTATGCCAGTACTGCTCTATCGTAATTACTGTAGCTTTATGGTAAGTTTTGAAATCAGTAAGCATGAGTCCTCTGACTTTATTCTTTGTTAAGATTGTTCTAGGTATTCTAGTTCCCTCACGACCTAGATGAGTCATTTCCATATCAGAATCTGGTATTTCTATATGATTGGTAGAATCAGCGTATTCATGATTGGTAGAATCAGTGTATTCATTTCTACAAAAAAGCAGATGAAATCTGTAGGCCAAGTTGGAGAGTATTAACACTTTAATAATACTGAATGTTCCAATCCATGAACGTAGGATGTCTTTCCATTACTATCTAGGCCTTCTTTCAACAATATTTTGTAATTTTCAGTACATAAATCTTGCAGGTCTTTAGTAATTTTATTCCAAAATATTTTATTCTTTTTGATGCTATTGTAAATGGCATTGTTTTCTTAATTTCATTTTTGAGGTGTGCATAGCTGATATATTAAAATATGCTTGATTTTTGCATATTTCTCTTATATCCAGCAAACACATCGAACCAGTCTATTAGTTGTAATAGTTTTTATTGAATTTCTTAGAATTTTCTATATACAAAATTATGTTATCTGTAAACAGAGGTAGTTGTACTTCTTTTTTTCTAATCTGGATGCCCTTCATTTCTCTTTCTGACTAAACACCTGGCTAAAACCTTCAGTACAATATTGCATATAAGTGCCATTAATGGACATCTTTGTCTTGTTCCCGATCTTATAAGGGAAAGCATACAGTCTTTTACCATTAACTATGATGTTAGGTGTGGGTTTTCCATATATGTCTGTCTTAGCTCAGGCTGCTACAACAAATACATCATAAACTGGGAGGCTTAAACAACAAACATTTATTTCTCACAGTTCTGGAGGTTGGGAAGTCTAAGATCAAGGTGCCAGTAGATTTAGTGTCTGGTGAAGGCCTGCTTCATGGCTTACAGATGACATGATCTTGTTGTATCCACATATGGTGGACAGCAGAAACAGAAGAAACAAACTTTCTTGTGTCTCTTCTCAGAAATGCCCTAATCATAAAGGTTCCATCCTTATGACCTAATTTTTAATGCTTCCCACAATTCTCATCTCCAAATACTACCACACTGGGAATTAGGCTTCAACATATATATTCAGAGGGTGAGGAGGGACAAAAACATTCAGTCCATGCAATCATCTTTATCAAGTTAAAGAGGTTTCCTTCTCTTCCTGGTTTGTTGAATGTCCCTCTCATTAAACACTTTTGGAATTTTGTTAAATGCTTTTCCTACATTTATTGAGGTGATCATGTGATTTTTCTCCTTTATTCTGTTAATTTGATGCATTACATGAATTGTTTTCTAAGTTTAAAACAACTTTATATCCCTATGACAAATCCCATTTGGTCATGGTTTATAATCCTTTCTATACTTGCTGAATTCAGTTTAATGGCATTCTGTTGAGGATTTTTGCATCTGTATTAAAAAACATTGCAGTCTGGTTTTCTTTTCTTGTGATATCTTTGTCTGGTTTTCATATCAGGCTCAATCTATATTACCTTTATAGAATTAGTTGGGAAATAATTGGTATTCTTCTTTAAACATTTGGTGGAATTCAACAGTGAAATAATCTGTGACTGAGCTTTTCTTTGTGGAAATTTTTAAGCTACTAATTTAACCTTTTGCTATTGTCCTGTTCAGATTTTCCATTCCTTCTTGATTCAGTTTCAGTGGTCTGTGTCTTCATAGTAGACCAACTGTATATTTATATAGTTTGTTATATTAACCATTTTATTTGCCACTTCTGGTTCTTTTCATTTCTTTCTATAACTTGAGGTGCCATTTCCTTACCCCAGTACAGCATTATTACCACTTACCTCATTCGTGTCATTACTGTCAAATATATTATATTTCCAAACATTACAGACCCAACATAACAATTTTTATATACATAGTGTTTTATATAGCTGCTTTATAAATCAATTTTAAAAAGGAAATATACAATTATACTATCTCTTATATTTATGTACTTAATTATCTTTATAAATGTGTGAATTCAAATTATTTGGTGCAGCTTGCTTTTAGACAACTATACTTTCTCTTATATTTATGTACTTAATTATCTTTATAAATGTGTGGATTCAAATTATTTGGTGCAGCTTGCTTTTAGCCTTAAAAACTTTTCTTACATGGGTCTGACGGCAAGAAATTCTCCTGGTTTTTGTTTATCTGGGAATGTATTTTGCATTCATTTTTGAAAGATAGTTTTGCTGGATATAAGTTTCTCGGTGGAGAAGTTTTTTCTTTCAGCACTTTGAATATATCATCCCACTGCCTTCTGATTGCTATGTTGATGAGAAGTCAGCCATAAATATTGTCAGGGTCCCCCTGTATATGCTTTTTTCTTGTGACTTTCATGATTTTTTGTCTGTTTTTTTTTTTCCCACATTTTTGGTAAAAGTGTCTTAGTGTAGATTTCTTTATGTTTATCCTAATTGGAGCTTGTTGATATGCTTGAATTAGTAGACTGGTAGTTTTCATCAAATTTGGGAGGTTTTCAGTCATTATTTCTTGAATATTTGTTTTTCTACTTTTTCTCTCATCTTCTGATACTCTCATTATGTGTATTTTTACACACTTAATGGTGCTCTACATTTCTCTGAAGCTGTTAATTTTTCTTTATTATTTTTTCACTTTTTTCTTCAGATTGTAAACTCTTTAATGATGTCTTCAAGTTCAGATTCTTTCTTCTGCCAGCTGAAAACAACTATTGAGCCCTTCTGAATTTTTTCATTTCAGTAATTGTATTCTTGAACTCCGTAATTTCTATTTTTTAAAATAAATTCTGTCTCTATTGATACTCTTTACTTTGTGAGACGCTATTATCATATCTTCCTTTTTTAAAAATTTTATTTCCTTTAGTTATTTGAACACATACATAATAGCCCCTTTGATGTTTTTGTCTGCTAAGTCCTACATCTGGGCCCCCAAAAAGCAGTTTCTATTGTCTACTTTTTTTTTGTCTCCTTTTTATTGTTCACACTTACCTATTACTTGGCATATCTAGTATTTTGTTGTTGTTGTTGAAAAGGGACACTTTAGATAATACAGTGTAGCAAATCTAGACAACTCCCTCCCCTCCCTGGGGCTTGTCATTGTTTATTTCATGACTTGGCTGAACTAGTACAATGAAGTCTCTTCCCTTGCAGTATGCAGCCTCTGATGTTGTTCTTCAGAGGGTGCAGCCTTGAGTATGCAAACAATCTCCTCCATAACCAGAGATGACTGTAGTTTTAGTCAGGGGGTGTTTGGCTGTTACCTTCCCTGATCTCCCTATTAAGTTTCTGGCTGTTTTGCCTCTACTGTTATCACATACAGCTGTTAGCCCCCACTAATTGACAGCTGTTTGCTCCACTGTTTCTGATAATACCCTTGGGCATAAATTGCTCCAGAGATTGATTGATCTAAATAATGTTGGGCCCCTGTGAAATGTTGCCAGCCTTTAAGTTTTGCTCTGACTGCAGGAGGGCTCTTTTTAACTATCTCTTTCCCTTGTTTTCTTTGTTTAACATCTAGCTGACCCACTGTTTTGCTTTTTGCTACCAGTATCATGGAGCTACCAGTCCCCTCTTAATCACTCATCACCAGGATCTTCATTGTTGTTGTTGTTATTTTTACAATGAACTTAGGTATGAACTTCCACACACTCTGTTCCAAGCAGTGACGTGGAAGAGCTGCAGAGCTTTCTGCTCCTAAGGTCTGAGCCGAACATCTGTACCACTGTACTGAAGCTGAGGGTGGACCTGCAATTAACTTCTCCTGGAAAGACTTCCCTGGATCTGAGAATGGTGATCTGGAAAGGGAAGCAACCCCTAGACTTCTAGGCTTGTCTATTCTGGTATGTAGCTTTGCTCCCTATGAGAGCTAGGGTGGTGGCAATCAGAGCCCAGTATTCTCAGACTACCATGTCTGAGGTAGAGCTTTTATCCTATGAGCTGAGGTTAAGTGAGAAAAGGGAGCCCCAGTCATCTCAGCTGTGCCTGCCTAGAATAAAGCTTTTGCAACATGGGGCTGAGGGAGATGAGAGATGCCTACCTCTTGCCCCTTCTGGGGTAAAATTGTTGCCCTAGAATAAGAACTGGAGGGGCAAGCTACACTCACTCAGAGTAGAGCTTCTGTCACACTGAGTTAAGGTGGCAGAATGGTGAAGAGTGATCATGTGAGCAGGTCATGGTTTAAATGCAACAGACTCTCAATACTGTTCTTAACAAGATTTAGTTGATCTTGAATATGTGTTGCCCTGCTTGCTGTACGTGCTTAGGACAATTTCTACAGACTTTAAATGATTATTTCAAAAAAAATTTACCAGTTAAATGTGTTTCACTGGGGAGAGACTCTGCCATCCTTACATAGCCATTTCAGAAGTCCCACGTCAAGATTAGATGTGTTCTACCTGAATATTTTACTTTATAATTTCTATCAACTGTTTTTTTTTTAAGTTTTAGTGTGCTTTTTGTAAGACACACAAAATTAGAACATACAAATGAAGATAAGGGGGAAGATTTGAAATGAATGAGAGGACATCAAACTAATATGATGGTTTAGCAAAACTGAATATTACTCTTACCATCCCAAACTTCATGGTGTCTGAAGCATGGTGTTAACTGCTATCATTCATTTAGTGGCAGGCAGGTATCAAGTGCTTTTCATATATTATGCTAAACTCTCCTAAGCACTCCACGTGTTACACAATATAATTTCCCTCCACATAAATGAGGAAACTGACCCTCAAGGTCACACAAAGAAAGCAGAGAACTGGTATTGATTGGAATTCCGGTCTGTTTTACTCTAAGTCTGCATTCACTATGTGCTCCATAAAAAGAAACATTTCAATTCATCTGCAGAACTATTTTTCAAGAATTAGAATCTATGAGAAGTGTAGTAATATTAAATAGGTAACACGGTATAATATGTTTTATCAGAAATATATACTTTTGCAAGGGTATTCCACTTGATTTGTTGACAGTAAACAAAATTAACTAGTTCTCCAGTTACATTGGAATTGCATAAATGTGTTATCCAGCACACATGTGTCATAAGCTCATGTTTTAGTTTTGTGTTTTGTTTTGGTTACCTTCGAGAAGATCATCCTCATCGATGCCTTTGACAATCTTTGATTTGTAGTCTCGGATAAACATGTATTTTAGCAGTCTTCTAAGTTTTTTCTATTAAAAATATAAAATAAGTAAATAAGAAAACCTATACATATATTCACTTTACTGATTAAAGACTACTATAACCAAATTT
Organism: Homo sapiens; assembly: GCF_000001405.40. NCBI lineage: Eukaryota > Metazoa > Chordata > Mammalia > Primates > Hominidae > Homo > Homo sapiens. The sequence goes on from NC_000006.12 coordinate 45,014,974, forward strand.
AATAAACTTGTACCCCATGATATCAGAGAAAGTAAAGTAATCCTTAGCATACTGCTATGACATAAAAAGGTAGTCATCAAACACAAAGGCTAAAATACAAGTCTTTTAAAAAGCAGTTTTCATTTACAAATATTCGGATGTTCCAGAATCACAATACTCACACATTGCTTAATGAAGGGGATCTAAGAAATGCCTCCTCAGGAGACTTCATCGTTTTGTGAACATCACTGAATACACTTACACAAACCTAGATGGAACAGTCTAATGCACACCTAGGCTACATGGTGCGGCCTACTATTCATGGGCTACAAACTGGTATGCAAGGGTAAGAAAATGGTAAGTATTTGTATATCTAAACATTTCTAAATATACAAAAATTAGTTAAAATACCATGTAAATGACAAAAAATGATACATTTGTAGAGGGCATATACCATGAATGAAGCTTGTAGGACCTGAAGTTGCTCTGGTTGAGTCCATGAATGAGTGGCAAGTGAATTTGAGGGCCTAGGACATTACTGCATGCTATTGCAGACTTTATTTTTAAAAAAGCTGTACACTTAGGCTACACTACATTTAAAATTTTTCTTTCTTCAATAATAAATGTGCCTTAGCTTACTTACTGTAACTATTTTACTTTATAGACTTAATTTAAAAAATACTTCACTCTTACAGTAATACTTAGCTTAAAACACAAACACCTTACACAATTGTACAAAAACGTTTTTCCTTTATATCCTTATTCTATAAACTTTTTTCTACTTTTAAATTTCTTATAGCTTTTTAAACTTCTCTGTTAAAAACTAAGATGCACACACGCGCGCGCACACACACACACACACACACGCCTATGCCTACATAGGGTCAGGACCGTCAATATCACTGTCTTCCACCTCCACATCCTGTCCCACTGGAAGGTCTTCAAGGGCAATAGCATGCATGGAACTGTCAGCTCCCTTGATAACTGCTTTTTTATTGGTATATCTCATGAAGGAACAACCTCAGGTGGTTCACAGTTAAGTGTTTTTTGCAAATAGTACACTCTAAAATAATGATGGAGTATTATAAATACATAAACAAGTAACAATCATTTATTATCTTTATCAAGTATTATGTACTATACATAATTTTATGTGCTATGCTTTTATACCATCAGCAGTGCAGAGGTATACACCAGCATCACCACAAAGTCGAGTCATGCATTGCACTACAATGTTAGTATGATACCTACAACATCACTTGATAATTGGAATTGTTCAGCTCCATTATAATCTTATGGGACTACTGCTGTATTTGCAGTACATTTTTGAAAAACAGTTCATCATATGGTACCTGACTATAATTGTTTTTTAAATTTTTTTTTATTTATTTTTTTATTTTATTATTACTATACTTTAAGTTTTAGGGTACATGTGCACAATGGGCAGGTTAGTTACATATGTATACATGTGCCATGCTGGTGTGCTGCACCCATTAACTCGTCATTTAGCATTAGGTATATCTCATGCTAACCCTCCCCCCTCCCCCCACCCCACAACAGTCCCCAGAGTGTGATGTTCCCCTTACTGTGTCCATGTGTTCTCATTGTTGAACTCCCATCTATGAGTGAGAACATGCAGTGTTTGGTTTTTTGTCCTTGTGATAGTTTACTGAGAATGATGATTTCCAATTTCATCCATGTCCCTACAAAGGACATGAACTCATCACGTTTTATGGCTGCATAGTATTCCATCGTGTATATGTGCCACATTTTCTTAATCCAGTCTATCATTGTTGGACATTTGGGTTGGTTCCAAGTCTTTGCTATTGTGAGTAGTGCCACAATAAACATACATGTGCATGTGTCATTATAACAGCATGATTTACACTCCTTTGGGTATATACCCAGTAATGGGATGGCTGGGTCAAATGGTATTTCTAGTTCTAGATCCCTGAGGAATCGCCACACTGACTTCCACAATGGTTGAACTAGTTTACAGTCCCACCAACAGTGTAAAAGTGTTCCTATTTCTCCACATCCTCTCCAGCACCTGTTGTTTCCTGACTTTTTAATGATTGCCATTCTAACTGGTGTGAGATGGTATCTCATTGTGGTTTTGATTTGCATTTCTCTGATGGCCAGTGATGATGAACATTTTTTTCATGTGTCTTTTGGCTGCATAAATGTCTTCTTTTGAGAAGTGTCTGTTCATATCCTTTGCCCACTTTTTGATGGGGTTGTTTGTTTTTTTCTTGTAAATTTGTTTGAGTTCATTGTAGATTCTGGATATTAGCCCTTTGTCAGATGAGTAGGTTGTGAAAATTTTCTCCCATTTTGTAGGTTGCCTGTTCACTCTGATGGTAGTTTCTTTTGCTGTGCAGAAGCTCTTTAGTTTAATTAGATCCCATTTCTCAATTTTGGCTTTTGTTGCCATTGCTTTTGGTGTTTTAGACATGAAGTCCTTGCCCATGCCTATGTCCTGAATGGTAATGCCTAGGTTTTCTTCCAGGGTTTTTATGGTTTTAGGTCTAACATTTAAGTCTTTAATCCATCTTGAATTAATTTTTGTATAAGGAGTAAGGAAGGGATCCAGTTTCAGCTTTCTACATGTGGCTAGCCAGTTTTCCCAGCACCATTTATTAAATAGGGAATCCTTTCCCCATTGCTTGTTTTTCTCAGGTTTGTCAAAGACCAGATAGTTGTAGATATGCAGCGTTATTTCTGAGGGCTCTGTTCTGTTCCATTGATCTATATCTCTGTTTTGGTACCAGTACCATGCTGTTTTGGTTACTGTAGCCTTGTAGTATAGTTTGAAGTCAGGTAGCGTGATGCCTCCAGCTTTGTTCTTTTGGCTTAGGATTGACTTGGCGATGTGGGCTCTGTTTTGGTTCCATATGAACTTTAAAGTAGTTTTTTCCAATTCTGTGAAGAAAGTCATTGGTAGCTTTATGGGGATGGCATTGAATCTGTAAATTACCTTGGGCAGTATGGCCATTTTCACGATATTGATTCTTCCTACCCATGAGCATGGAATGTTCTTCCATTTGTTTGTATCCTCTTTTATTTCCTTGAGCAATGGTTTGTAGTTCTCCTTGAAGAGGTCCTTCATGTCCCTTGTAAGTTGGATTCCTAGGTATTTTATTCTCTTTGAAGCAATTGTGAATGGGAGTTCACTCATGAGTTGGCTCTCTGTTTGTCTGTTATTGGTGTATAAGAATGCTTGTGATTTTTGTACATTGATTTTGTATCCTGAGATTTTGCTGAAGTTGCTTATCAACTTAAGGAGATTTTGGGCTGAGACGATGGGGTTTTCTAGATATATAATCATGTCGTCTGCAAACAGGGACAATTTGACTTCCTCTTTTCCTAATTGAATACCCTTTATTTCCTTCTCCTGCCTAATTGCCCTGGCCAGAACTTCCAACACTATGTTGAATAGGAGTGGTGAGAGAGGGCATCCCTGTCTTGTGCCAGTTTTCAAAGGGAATGCTTCCAGTTTTTGCCCATTCAGTATGATATTGGCTGTGGGTTTGTCATAGATAGCTCTTATTATTTTGAGATATGTCCCATTAATACCTAATTTATTGAGCGTTTTTAGCATGAAGGGTTGTTGAATTTTGTCAAAGGCCTTTTCTGCATCTATTGAGATAATCATGTGGTTTTTGTCTTTGGCTCTGTTTATATGCTGGATTACATTTATTGATTTGCGTATATTGAACTAGCCTTGCATACCATGGATGAAGCCCACTTGATCATGGTGGATAAGCTTTTTGATGTGCTGCTGGATTCAGTTTGCCAGTATTTTATTGAGGATTTTTGCATCAATGTTCATCAAGGATATTGGTCTAAAATTCTCTTTTTTGGTTGTGTCTCTGCCCAGCTTTGGTATCAGGATGATGCTGGCCTCATAAAATGAGTTAGGGAGGATTCCCTCTTTTTCTATTGATTGGAATAGTTTCAGAAGGAATCGTACCAGTTCCTCCTTGTACCTCTGGTAGAATTCGGCTGTGAATCCATCTGGTCCTGGACTCTTTTTGGTTGGTAAGCTATTGATTATTGCCACAATTTCAGATTCTGTTGTTGGTCTATTCAGAGATTCAACTTCTTCCTGGTTTAGTCTTGGGAGAGTGTATCTGTCAAGGAATTTATCCATTTCTTCTAGATTTTCTAGTTTATTTGCGTAGAGGTGTTTGTAGTATTCTCTGATGGTAGTTTGTATTTCTGTGGGATTGGTGGTGATATCCCCTTTATCATTTTTTATTATGTCTATTTGATTCTTGTCTCTTTTTTTCTTTATTAGTCTTGCTAGCGGTCTATCAGTTTTGTTGATCCTTTCAAAAAACCAGCTCCTGGATTCATTAATTTTTTGAAGGGTTTTTTTGTGTGTCTATTTCCTTCAGTTCTGCTCTGATTTTAGTTATTTCTTGCCTTCTGCTAGCTTTTGAATGTGTTTGCTCTTGCTTTTCTAGTTCTTTTAATTGTGATGTTAGGGTGTCAATTTTGGATCTTTCCTGCTTTCTCTTGTGGGCATTTAGATTTATTAGACCGTAATGCTGCTTAATTTTTAAAGTAACTGATAATCCTTTGTAGCTTGTTCTATGCTTACACTTAGAATGTATTATCACTCGTTCTTGACCTTCAGGTTCAAGATTTCTATTAATAGCTGAAACATACTGCATTTTACACAGTTCTTTAGATGCACATTATTTGATATCTTCAATAGTTTCTTTGCATCTGGCGCCTTGTACCTAAGACTGCCTCACCCTGGGCAGAAACTTTCACTTTAAAAAATCCTACAGTCTCTCCATCTAATCATACAACCTTGAAGTTTCATGAGTCTTAAAATTCTTCTTCAAGTAAATCATATAGATACCCTATACCAAATAATAATTTTCTTAATAGTGAAGATTTTCATTTTGTAATATTCTTCATATCATCTAAGAGTTGATTAACTGAAACATGTAAAATATTAGAGAATATTTTTGACTACCTACTCATGAAAAATAATTATGGCAAAATTAGACACACAAATATCAGCTTAAATATTTTAATACCAGATTTCAAAGAGTAAGAAAGGTAGGCCTTTGTTCAAAAACAGAAATTATGGCATATGTTTATCCCACTGAAAATTAATCTTTATTAATTTACTTTTTTCAATAAGGTAGAGCTACAGACTAAACTTTGTATTTCAGGCTTAAAAAATTACTCTATGAAAGTCTATAATCCTGGTAATGTTAATCTGTAAGAAGAGGAGAAAAATAAATATGCCATTCAGTTATATCCCACTTATGACAACAGAACATAGAGTCAGTATTTAGTGAGTATCATGTAGCAATGAAAGTGTCTGCATAGACGCATAAGGATAAGTGAGGGTTCGCTGTTAGCACAGTTTTTATATAAGTGCTTTTGTCCACATAATAAATATCAATTCTTTTGTAAACACATTTTGTCGTCCAAACCATGAAGACTAAAACATCAGTTCAATAGTTATTATTTTAATTTGAAAGGTACATAACAAGGATATATAGTTTCCACATGCAAGTTCAATTAAACAAAACGTGGATTTTAATACAATAAAATTATGTTATATTACCTTATCTTTGCGCATCAAAAACAGAAGATCTTCAGGAGTGATTACCCTTGCTCCCCGCAGCTGAGAAACTTCAGCAGCTTGCTGTAACTAACAATAATGAAAATTTAGAAATTTTTCTCAGTAACACAAATTATATATAGTACAGTCATGATGTCTCTAAAGAGATAAATATACTAAGAGTTAAAAACCTTTGGGAAATAATCCAGCAATCACATTACTGCTTTTAAGAGTAAAATGTCTTATGTTTTTAAGATATAAAACATGCAATTAAATTAACTTATGAGCCCACCTGTAACCAATACAATAAACAGAAATCTTTTATTTCTTTCTTGCAAAAGAAAAATCATACACAGCTTCCAGAAATGCATTAATGCACCTGAAAATGATTTCATGAAATTTTATCCTTCATACTCATGTGAGCAATGGTTTCACTCAGTATCACTAGTTGAATAAGTATATTATTAATCTGAGCTCCCATGCTGCTCTGATTTGAAATAGGCCCATTCAGAACTTTAAAAGATCAACAAAAACAGTAGCTGTTTCTAATATCCAAAGGAAAAAAAATACGTTTAGTTTTGGCAAGTCTTCAGTGGGTAAAGGATTCAGTCCATAAATCATAATACTGGACTGCATTAATTTCTTTCCATACTAATCACATGCACACAAAAAGTTAACTGTATCTGGAATATACAACACAAAACATTACTGCACTAAAAGTTAGATTCCCCCTGAAATGTTCATCTAGCCCCTTATATCTACAAAGTCAAGATTTTTCAGGAATTCATAAGTCCTAGAAACATAATCTTACTTAAAAATGACATGGAAAATAAAAGAATGTGAAAAATGATAGTTCCGTTTTTTGGCACAGGCAAACTCAATTTCTTATTTTGATTAGTTGGAAGCAACATAAAATACGCCCATCTGAAAAAAATAAAGATGCTACAGAAAACACTATAAAAATGTGTCTGTAACTTCTTCCAAATTTGATCAAATCTTACGGATTGCACCAAACCAAGTCTATCCAATATGAAATACTATAAAAAGTTACATATAAAAGCTGTTCCTGAATGCATCCTTCTTTTAAAAGATAAACCTAACACATTTTCTTGAGAACTAATCTTTAAAATGTGACACACTATTATCTCAACAAATATATGAAATCAAATAGTACATTTGTGCTAAAGAAATTCTGCTTGAATGTTTAATCCTTTTTGCTAAGTAAGCTTCAAACCTTCTCTAAATACACAGACTACAAAATAGACTATAAACTCGCTATGTGTCAGCTTTACCACTGAATTTCCTGGATACTGCGGTTGGTATATAAACACTATCCTATCTAAATATAGAAATTTAAATTTAACTGTGAACCATTTAAAAAGAAATCTTGGTGGGGGGGTAGGTTTTTAAAAAGATGATGTTATCTACTCAGAAACTGTTTTCAGCAGGCATGAACATATTTTTTCTAAAAATTGGTAGAGTGAGGGAAATATATGTGCACATGCTTTTCAAATAAAAATATTTCTATCACAGTCTAAAATACAGGCAATCAGTGTTGAGAAGAATATGGGCTATATATACATTTGTCTGGACACATACACAGTAAATTTATTTTCTTAAATGAAGAATGCTGATCATTTGAAATCTGAAAAACACTATACAGACACATGTAATTTTACTCACATTAAGAAGGATCAGGAGAAATATGTATCCCTAAATAGTTTTCTCAATTAATCAACAGTTTATGCACACTACATATAAATAATCTCTATTCATAACATTCTCCAAAGTATCAGTTTACAAACATATTAGCCAGGATAAGTATGATAATAGAAAATAAAGACACAGAAGAGTTGAACATTTGGAATCACTGTTTTTTTTTTTTTTTTTTATTTTCAGAACCAATACATGACCACTGTAAGGATCTGGAATTTATATCATGGTTATCCTGTCGTATGTAGTAGGAAAAGTTTATCTTTGTTTTTTATTTACCTGTTTTTCTAATTTATCTCAACCAACATAATATCCTTACTAGGACTAGCATTGGTACCACTCCCTTGTCTGCCTTGGACCTCTGCCTAGTTAGTATGTCTCTGGAACTGAAAGTATCACTATGTTACCTTACCAAGGCCTGCCTATCCCGGATGTGTCCCAAACCCCAAAATTACCTCTCCCAAACTCTGACCTCCTCTTCTCTACCAAGTGAAGACAGAAATCTTATTAGCTAATTAAAGTAACTCATACAAAAGTCATCTACTACCCCCATACCAAAATACTCAAGTCCTGCACTTAGCCCTATGGAACCTGTGTATCCAAAAAGTCAGCCCTCCTTATAGAGGAGTTTCACATCTCAGGAATACTATTTTCCATCCATGTTTGGTTGAAAAAAATCTGCATATAAGTGGGACCATGCAGTTCAAGCCCAAGTTGGTCAAGGGTCAACTGTGTTATTATGCATTGGTTTACTTCTCCTGCAAATTTTTGCCTACTACCAGAAAGACTAAAGAAAGTTTTCTTTAACAATACAAACTTCAAAAACAGGTGAGCATTAAAAAGTGGGCAAAGGAGAAGAACAGACACTTTTCCAAAGACGACATAGATGTGGCCAACAAGCATTTGAAAAAAAAAGCTCAGTAACACTGATCATTAAGAGAAATGCAAATCAAAAGCACAATGAGATACCATCTTACAGCAGTCAGAATGGCTATTATTAAAAAGTCAAAAAAAAAAAACAAACCAGATGCTGGCAAGGCTGTGGAGAAAAGGGAACACTTATACACTGTTAATGGGAGTGTAAATTAGTTCAACCATTGTGGAAAGCGGTATGGTGATTCCTCAGAGCTAAAAGCAGAACTACCATTGGACCCAGCAATCCTATTACTGGGTATATACCCCAAGGGGTATAAATCATTCTACCATAAAGACACATGCACACAAATGTTCACTGCAGTACTGTTCACAATAACAAGGACATGGAATCAACTTAAATGCCCATCAATGACAGATTAAAGAAAATGTGGTATATATACACCATGGAATATTATGCAGCCACAAAAAAGAATGAGATCATGTCTTTTGTGGGAACATGGATGGAGTCGGAGGCTAACTAATGCAGAAACAGAAAACCAAATACTGCATGTTCTCACTTATAAGTGGGAGCTAAATGATGAGCACTTATGAACACAAAAAAGGAAACATAGACACTGGGGCCTACTTGAAGGTGGAAGGAGGGAGAGGAGAAGAAAGGATAACTCTTGGGTAGTGGGCTTAATTCCTGGGTGATGAAATAATCTGTATAACAAACCCCAGTGACATGAGTTTACCTATGTAACAAACCTTCACATGTACCCCTGAACCTAAAATAAAAGTTAAAAACAAAACAAAACAAAACAAAAAACAGGTGAGCAACTGGGCAGTCCAATTCCACAGGCATTAAACTTAAAATTGGTGCATTTAATGTGAAAACAATAGTAGAACTGGGAAACCAATATCAAAAATGTTCCTCAAAACTTCAGTGTTAACAGCAGTTCAGTTATAGCATTTCTGTTTTTTTCTGATTAATATTACTTCTATTTGTCAAAGTAAACAAAATATTAACTTGTAACAACTTTGTTAGGAAAAAACTCCCTAAAATATTAAAACTCATGTTTACATTTTAAGTATGTTATAATACTTTATTAGGAGGTTGAGAAGTAAAAGGTACACTATTACATGTCACCTCAAATGCCACATCTTTGACCCTATAAATAAATCTGTTCTCAATTTCACATTGCTATCCATGACATTCATTTTTTTTCTCACTGTATTATATTTTCACCAATTTCTGTTTATTTTGTTGTTTCTTTTAATCTTCTCAGGGGTCTTGAATGTGCTATTTCCACCATATTTGTTCTACTATAATCTCCCTTAAATATAATGTCTGAATTCTTGCTCTAAGATTAATAATTCCCTGTTATCTAAATTCAATGTGGTCTTTAAAGCTCGAATGATTCACATATTTTCCCTGCCTTTCCACTAATTATATTTATTGTTTTTCTCTCATATAATTCTACATTTAGGCTCCAATAATTTTGGTTCTTTTTACCTTTGTGTACTTGTGATGGTTAATTTTGTGTGTCAATTTGACTGGACCGCGGGGTACATAGACATTTGGTCAAGCATTATTCCGGGAGTGACTATGAGGGTGTTTCTGGATGAGATTAACAGTTCAATCAGTAGACTGAGTAGCAGACTGTCCTCCTTAATGTGGGTGGGCCCCATCCAATCAGTTGAAGACATGGATAGAACAGAAAAGGCTGAGTAAGAGGAAACAACTTCTGTCTGAATGCATAACCTGGGACACTGGGCCTTTTCTGGCCTTTGGTCTCAGACTGAAACATCAGGTTTTCTTGTGTTCTGAGGCTGCTGGCTTTCATACTGGAACTAAACATCTACACATTGGCTTTCCTGGGTCTCCAGCTTGCCAAATGAAGATTTTGGGAATCCTTAGACTCCATAATTGCATAATTATAATTTATTATCCTTATAATAATACATAAATCTCTCTCATACACACAGGTGTGCACACTCACACATACTTACTGCCGGTCTCTAATATAGTACTATAGTTAAATTATGAGAAAATCCTGATTCTTTATAAGATGTGGCACTTTTTCTTTAAAATACGAGCTTTAAAATAATTTTCTCAGAAAAATAAGATGTATGATTATTTTCACACAACAGTGTTTCTCATCTAACGTAGATAGAAAACTTAAATGCAGTTCATAATAGCTTAATTGCACTTGTTATCAAGTTTTGTAACACTCCTGCCTCCCAAATTTCTTTTGAATTATACACGTAGGTCCAGAACCATTGACCCTGAACAGGCAATTTATAAATGTTTGTTAAATGTTGGCAATCCATCTTCCCCTCCATGATTTTCAGTTTTTCAATTTAAATGTAACAGAAATGAGTTAAGCTATGTAAAATCGATGGCCTTTTGCATTTGGCTGGGGCCCACATAAATTCAGCACAAAGATTTCTCTAAAGTTCTAAAAGGTTTAAAATGTACAACAGAATTGGCCGGGCGCGGTGGCTCACGCCTGTAATCCCAGCACTTTGGGAGGCCGAGACAGGCGGATCATGAGGTCAGGAGATTGAGACCATCCTGGCTAACATGGTGAAACACAGTCTCTACTAAAAATACAAAAAATGAGCCTGGCGTGGTGGTGGGCGCCTGTAGTCTCAGCTGCTCGGGAGGCTGAGGCAGGAGAATGGCGTGAACCCAAGAGGCGGAGCTTTCAGTGAGCTGAGATAGCGCCACTGCACTCTCGCCTGGATGACAGAGCGAGACTCCGTCTCAAAAAAAAAAAAAAAAAATGTACAACAGAATTAAGTTGATTATTCCACAATTACTAAGCTACTGAAAGTATTTTAATGAGACTTCCATTGCAGCTCTTTCTTTTAGGTTTTGCCTAAGACCTTGGATTTGTCCTTTTTGAAGATAAATGGTAAACGGTAGGAGTTGTGGTGAGCTAGTATCATGAAGAGGCAGAATCCTAGGTAAGGTTATCGCCTGGCTTAAAATTATTTATTTTTCCCTCTATTAGTCTATCTATTATGCACTCATTATCCATCAGGCCAGATTCTAGGTTAGGCTATGAATGGTCAGCTCTGCTTGCAACCATATTTGCTAGCCAGAGATAACCTCAAAGGTCTTCTCTTAAATCCTCCATGATAAGACTGAAAGAACCTGGAGTTAAATTTCCTAAGTTGGAGTTAGGAAACTCCAGTGTAGTTTCATCACTAAGTGATTGCACAACCTTAGATACATCAAATAAGTTCTCTAGATTTGTGGGTTTATGTTTCTCTTTTATTTGAAATGGGTAATCAATGACTTTAATTACTAGTAGAATTATAATCTTAGTGGTAATAATAGTGGCCATATATTGTGTCCCTAATTTGTGCCAGGTGCTGTGCTATGTGTCTTATATTTAACTTTTAAATTTTATATCTAATTTAAAAAATATATAAAACATTAAAAGTCAAATAATACTATAAATTTTATGACAGATAGGAATACCTTGCCACACTTCTTCTGAATCTGTAATTCTGCTTCCAGTGGCAATCACCTTTAACTTTTTAAGCTTGTTTCTATTTTATTTACCAACATATTTGAAATAAGCTTATAATACTTGTTTTATTTTTCAGCTTTAAAAATTATCAGATGACTTATTATGAGAGGTGAAAAAGATTTAGTGTTCTTAGACACCCCAAATTTGACCATCTCTCCTCTTGACTTTACCTATGAAATATAATTTTTGTTTAAATATACAGTGTTTATGTTATACCAAACTATTTTTGAAAAATTTGAAATGTATCAGAATTTATTTCAGTTTTGCTTTTGATGAGACATCTCATCTGGAGCCCTCCAGACTTCCCTTCTACTCTTCTGCTTTGGATCCTTTTTTTTTTTTTTTTTTTTTTGAGACAGGGTCTCACTCTGTCATCCAGGCTGGAGTGCAGTGGTGTGATCACAGCTCACTGCAGCCTCAACCTCCTAGGCACTATAGATCCTTCCACCTCAGCCTCCTGAGTAGCTGGGACTATAGGCGTGCATCATCACATCTGGATAATTTCTGTATTTTTTTGCAGAGACAGGGTTCTGCCACGTTGACCAGGCTGGCTGGGAACTTCTGGGCTCAAGTAATCTGCCCACTTTGGTGTCCCAAAGTGCTGGGATTACAGGCACGTAGGAGCTACCGTGCCCAGACTGGATTGTTGTTTTCTTGACCCCATTTCTGCTCTTTCTCATTTCCTTCCTCATTTACTTCCTCATTTCAGCAAAGCATATTATCTGAAAGTTTCCTTTTTAGTTGATGAGCATAGTTATGATAGCTGCTTTAAAATCCTTGTACATTAATTTTAACATCTGTGTCATCTTGGAATCAGTCTCCATTGACTATTTTTTCTTGGCTTTGGGTCATGTTTTCCTGTTATTTCAGATTTTAAGTAATCTAGTGTTTTATCTGAGATATTGTGACTAACATACCGTAGGAACTCTGGATTTTGTTGTATTCCTTTGAAGATTAAAAAATAGGCACTTAACTAGAACGGATTCAAACTACAACATCTTTTTCTCCCCTGTGGTGGGCTACAGCTGAAATATACTTGATATTACAGTTTTCTGAGAAAGGGTGCAAGGGAAATAAATTTTTAAAAATCTTGTATGTCTCAAAATGTGTTTATGTCATCCTTCTATTCAATTGATAATCTGGCTGAGTATACAGAATTCTAGATTAAAAATAATTTTCCCTCAGAATTTTCAAGGCACTGCTACCTTTTCTTCTAGCTTAAAATGTTGCTGTTGACAAGTCGATTACATTATGATTCCTAAGCCTTTGTGTGACTTTTCCCCTAGTCTGAGAAACTTTTACTATTGTTCTTTTTATACTTCAAGTTCTGAAAATTCGTGATGCTTCTTTGAAGGTCTATCTTGAAATATTTTTCTAAATACTCATAACAATACTTCAACCTGTATGTTCTTGTCCTTTACATTTGAAAAATGTTCTTGGACTATTTTGAAAATTTCTATTGTCTGTTTTTTGTTTTGTTTGTTTTCCTGAAATGTCTATTAAATGAATGCTGGTGGACTTGTGTCTAGGATTTCTAATACTGGAGATCATTTTATTTCACCTTTCCACAAAGTAAAGTTATACTATTTTGCCAGAATGGCACAGGGGTAGCTAATGGCCTACATGGTTTGGATAGGGTACTGGGATAAAATTATGCCTTTTACCAATCTTCCTGTTTTTAGTCTACACAAGACTTCTTTCTTCAGAGGAACCTTCAATCCCAAACTTTTCCATGTTCCAAAGTTTCATTTTCCTCAGGTCTATTAAGCCTGTCTACCCACTTTAAGCTTTCAGATTTTTTTTTTTTTGACAGTTCTCACCTGCTATTTAGTCCTCTCCCATTTTCTACATCTTGTAAGTTTATACACTTAAAATTATTTTGTTATTTAGTGGAGTTTTCAGAGTTTGAAGCATGTGTACTACCCGTATTTAACAGGAAGCTGACACTCGTTTTTTATGCTAACATTTATAGAATTTATTATCCTATGCTTCATGTCTTCTATATATTATCTCATTTAACCTTCACAGCAAACTTATGAGAGATGTCCAAACACACAAAACTATTACTAAGTAATACATGTTTAACATTAAGCCATTCATGTTTCTCTCCTAGATTTCTTATTCAGAATAGAGGAAGATGCGTTCACTAAATCAAGCCTTACATTGCATAGAAAAGTCTAACCATAAAAATGTTTATTTGCCTTTCAAAACATTTTCTTTCTTGGTGAATAAACAGTTGCCAAAAAAAAAAAAAAAAAAAAAAAAAGAAAGAAAGATAAAAGGTTTGGATCAAAACATCCAAGCCAGTGGCTCCATGCAGACCCAGCCTAAGGATTGTGAGCTAAGTAAGTATTTGAAAGGAAATGTATTTGTAACTAAAGTTAACATTCAGAATACTCTACATTTAAGGTATTTGACGTAGTATTTTCCTACCATATAATCGTATTATTCTTTTTTGATGATTGGTATTGTTTTCTTAGACATTTGAAACATAAATGAGTATATAAATTGATAAAAGATGTGCCTAACTTTTTAGAGTTTCATTTTAACTGTTCTTTTTAGAATAGTAAGTCAAGCACAGTTAAGTCAGGTTTTAAAAAATATATAAGGCTATAATTACCAGGATCTCATGGCTCAAAAAATTCATTCATATATACTATGTGTGTATATATGACATATTTGTATGTGTATATATATATATATATACATATTCTTTAAAATATGTGTGTGTACATATATTGCATGTGTATATATATATAATTACTCAGTTACAATCAATGTGACCTCTAAAGCTTAAAAAATATCCAATAAACAATAACTATATATTTACTGTATGAAGATAGCAGCCTTAACATGGAACTAATTCTGTGGTTACTCTGTGATTTAAATGTGAAATTAGGAGAACAAGAAGCAATAATCATTTGAACATTTTCTTTTAACCTGTTTTGCACACAAGCTATTCATAAGCAACTTTCAACTCTAAATATATCTAAGTTTTGAATGTAAGCAAAGGCACATTTTAGAAATTTTTAAAAGTTGAAATTAAATAAAGTCATAGTTTAAATAACATAGTATTTTAGTATTAATTAACTGTAATTGATAACTGTTTTAAAATTTTTCTTTTTAAGAGACAGGGTCTTGCTCTGTCACCCAGGCTGGAGTGCTGTGGCACTACCTTGGCTCACTGCAGCCTCAAACTCCTGGGCTCAAATGATCCTCCCACCTCAGCCTCCTGAAGAGCTGGGACTACAGGCACATGCCATCATGCCTAGCTAATTTTTGTATTCTTTTTGTAGAGACAGGATCTCACTTTATTGTAGGCTGTTTTCGAACTCCTTGGCTCAAGTGATACTCCTGCCTTGGCCTCCCAGAGTGCTGGGATTACAGGTGTGAGCTATCACACACAGCCTCTTTAAAATTTAACTATTTAGTATTTAACTATTGAAATGAAAATACAATTTGACTATTTACTGAATCTAAAATACAATTAAAATTGCAGAACGACAGAAGCGTACCTTGAATTTGTTCAACATAATATATAGTTATCCTTTGGTAACTCAGTAACTGGAAATTGATGTATTTTTGAAGTCTAAGAAAAGGTTACATTTGCATTTCTTAAAATTCAGAACCATAAGATATTTTGGTTGCCTATATAATATGTGCTTTACTTGACTACATTAATAATGCCTCTTCTTTCTCAGCTTACTTCTTGGCATGTCCACACCCCTTTCCATATTCCCTTCTGTTCACATTTGTAAACAGGCATCTACTGAACGGGTTGTAGCCCTTACTTGTTTCTTCAAAGGACAAAAATATAACATGTAAGAGACTGAATTTCTTAGTTTTTTTCAGAACTCTTCCTCATTTGTTTTTACAAGATAGCCTGATTTCATTTCACCCTAGAATGTTCAGGAATAAACACAGGTCTTGTGCTAAGTCTTCATGGCTGGATCAGGGTACTAAAAGCACTGAATTACACCAGACCACACACAGGCCAATGTAATGATTAGAAAAGTTACCAAATGGAAAGAATAAAGTCCTGCTTTAGAATAATTATGGGGAGTAAGGAAAGTTGATATCTAATTTTATCTCTATTACTAATTACCCTTGTTTTGGCAAAAGCAACTTTATAATTTTGTCTTTTTGTTGAGAAAATATATAGAGAAAGTGCCAATTTTAGATTTGCAGCTTCTGATGCTGGATCTAAGAACCTGATCCATGCAGAGGGCAAGGATCTGCTATGAAACTCGGTTAAAATGTGGCCTCCTCTGTTAGTGTGGTACATCCCGAAGAGTGTTCCAGAATCTTTAGATTATTACCTCCAAGTTATAGTCGAATACAGTAGTCGAAGCTTTAAAAATCATTACTTAGAAAATGTTTCCCAAACCATCTTGACTTTCTTTGTCTCATAACATTTTTTAAATGCCTATGATTTCATGTTTTAGTGAGGTAACATCATGCAGCATATAGCTAGCCTGACGTAAATGTTATTGACATTTATTTAGAAAAGATAAATTAAATTGTGAAGAACTCATAAAAAAGTTTATAACTTTTAGTACTCACAAAGATTAAAGGTTATTATCAAATTATTATTAAGTATTAATGACATTTTCCCATTAAAAAATTTAGGATGTAAATAATTTGTGGATAAATGTATTTGTATATATGTGTGATATTTTTATCCTTAATTATAATACATATTTGTGTGTGCATACATAGATACATACCAAACATGTCTGTACATCACTAGAATCACTTTCTTGTAAAATGTAAGCTAACTTTCATCCAAACTTCAAGGGAAAAATAATGTGGGCTTTTTTGATAGAGAACGAATTGTTTCTCTAATAATTTCTCATGTAAAATTACCTCAAAATGAAATACAATGCACACATTAGTTTTGTTGTTACGGTTTTTAACAGAATAGCTGATCTTTTTGGTCCTCAGGTTCTTCAAGTGAGAACTAAAGAGAGGTGAATATCAAATAAGCTCCAAAGATCCTTTTGGCTTTTCTGATTCTAGTGTTTAACCCTGGGTATAGTTTTGGTTCCATAATTAAGCACTTACATCAATAAGAGAAAAAATAAAGAGGAACCATAAGAAAGAATGGCGCAACTTGGTAAGGTGCAGATGGGAGTCAATGCTCTAAGGGAAACTCACTTAGTCATACCAGTGGAAATAGCAACCAGCTCAACTAGCTGCAAGTGCATGAAAGGAAGTATGGGGTTGGGTTCTTATTTAGCAGTAATGACTTATCTTACCATGTTTACCATGGTACACAAATCAGCAGGTGATATAATTACTTTAGTATTCTATTCAATAGTTCCAGGTGTATTTGAAAGCCAAAGACAGTTGCAAAATGGGATTATAGCAATGCAATTGCTAATTAATATGTAAAAGACATTGGTCTCTATCCATTTCTCATCTGCCCTATGCTTTCATCATATGATGAACAGAGATAATTTGTATATACTTCTCCCTCAGTTTGTCAGAGAAAGTAGCCCTTATTCAAATTCTGTATCCAAAGATTGCTTGCATAGGAAAACCAATACATGTTGTATACAGTATTTATCAAATTAGATGCAGTATATGTAAAATGAAATGAAAAGTCGGGTTTCCCTAAGCTCAGATGTCAGTTCCATATTTCACTATCAGGTTATTAAAAAGGGCTCAGGAAGGTGACAAAGTACAGATTTTATTACACTTACAGATCATTGTAAAGATTAAATGAAATAATGTAGTAAAGACAAATAGAGAACTATAAAACACTATACCTGCATAAGTATTGCTTAGGGATGGCTCATTTTTGGCTAGGGAGAAGTTAAGACAGCAATGTATATAGAAAAGGAAAAGAGATTCCACTAATAACTTGGTAGGCTGAGAAAATGTTTAGCTCTGGTCACTAAAACCAAAATCAGGATATTCCTGGGAGATTCATTCACATCAGGATAAAATGGTACAATTACGCAACACTCATACAGTTACATTCTAAGGAAGCAAACAGCGTAGAGAAGATGGAACCTCATAACCTTCATAAATAAAAGTGAGACATCACTGTCTCTTTGAGGTCTTCTCTAACACAAGCATAGACCTAAGCACTCCCTTTCCATTGTACTGCCCAGGTCCTCATAGAACTTCAGCCAACTTACCACTCAGCACTCTTCTCTACAAAGCTCTCTTTATAAGAAGGCGGCTTCCTTTCTACTAGGATGCAAACTCTCCATTAATGTGTGTTAGAATGAGCTAAAACAGTATTTAAGCAATTCAGTAAAAGCCTCTGAAGACTCTGAGTTGTAGGCAGATGTAGGGGAACAGGCACAGGAAGTAGAGTAGGAAGACTGAGCGCTGCTGGCTCCTACTGTGTGCTCTGTGAGAATGTGATCAATAACTAAATATAGAGAAGATTGTACTAACTCACCAAAACAAAAAAGCAAATATAAGAGTAATACCAGTTTCCTTGCAGATATGTTAAGAAGAACAAGTAAGGGGAAAAAAACAGAGAAAAGATAATGTCTGAAATATAGTAACAGCCCAACATATATTAACCTTTTATTTCTATCTTGTGATTCTTAGGGCAGTAATATCACAAAAGAGAAGTCTCAGAAGGATAAATCTTCAAACTACAGTATTGTGGTTGAACCTAAAATAAAATAAGCAAGCATGGAGATTTAAAAAATCTATTATTTTTAGTTAAACACTGGTAGCCTCTTTGTTCCTTCAATATATACTTATTGAGCACCTAGTATAGGCCAGTCATGGGGCTGAGAAAGGAAATTATGCTAACCAGAAGCAAACCAAAGCAAGTACACAAACAACAAAACCAAGAAGAAAACAAATGAAAACATGGTCCTTCACCTCACAGGGCTTACAGACTGATTACTTTTAGATGTACAATAAATATTGTACAGATATTATGACTATCACTATGAAAAGTTTATTCTAAAATAATTTCAATGAGTTTATGCTAGAAATCAGACAACTGCAAGATAGGTATCATAACTTATATACTATATTGAGGAGTGTGTAAAGTTAACATCTTTCTAAAGTTGCACAAGGAAGCCAGACTATATTAAGGTTATGGATTTTAAGTGTCTCAAAGAGACTGCCACAGATTATCTAAAATATCTAAAGAAAATATTCCTACCCATCTTGAGTTAGTGTTCAGTTAGATACTAGCCATGATGAATTTTAAGCCTGAAGGCAAATCAGATTATGCCTCCAAGTCTCTAATCAGAATTTGGAAAAAGTTCAATTTTGAGAATTTAACTGGCTGAATCTCAGCTAATATATGTGTGTCTGAGGCATCTTTGGGGATGACCCCAATGGAAGTATTAATATTGATTTGAATATATGTATATTAGTCAGGGGCTTGGAGGGAAACAGCATAGTTAAACTGTGTAACTGAAGAAGAGCTTAATACAGGAACTGTTTATAAAAATGTGGGGAAGGCTTTAGGGAAATGACCAGGGAGATTGTGGTGCCTCCTCACCATCCTACCTCCTCCTCCTCCAACAGCAGCATGAAACCATTACTAAACCTAGGCCTAGAGGATTAAGGGGGAATTAGCTGTTACCTGAAGCTGGAGGCTAGAGAAGCCCACCTGATAGGGATACAACCAACCCTGTACATTCATCCCACTCTCAGAGCTCCCCAGTCCCCTCCCACAGGCCAAAATCAACCAGAAGTCAGAGGGCAAGAGAGATCCAAAGAGACTAGCCTCCTGGAACACAGAAAAGAACAAAGGGTGAAAAAAGGATCTAGAGAGAGAAAGAGAAGACATTTAGTGTCATATAAGTCTTTAGAATTATCAAGAACAGCCTCACCAGGGCCATTTTCCACTTAAAACACTTAAAGCAGAATGTTTTTAGTCCTCTTTAAAAGTAGTTCTGTTCAGACTATTTAAAAACATAAATGGTGGGAGGTGTCCAGCACCAGATAAACACTATGGTCCAATGATGAAAATTGTAATTCCAGATTCAGAGACTTAATTTAAGAAAGGACAACACCAATAATAACAGTAACAAGAACATAAATTAGCATTTGTTGAATACAACATGAAATTTCTGACACTTTACATTATTTTTACAAAACTGTTAGTTCTACTAACCCTTGTAAAAACCTTGTTAGGTGATGTCAGTGTTTTATTATTTTTAATAGATATTTTACAGATAAGAAATCTGTAGTTGAGAACAGCTAAGTGACAAAAATGGGATTTGAACAAATCTATCAGACAATAACTCCTGTCTCCACCGTAGTCCACAGCTAGTAGACAACTTTTCCCATTTTCCTTAGGACACTAATATTTAATAGTTTGCTCATGGAAGCTAATATTTAAATATGTAAAATTCAGTAATTTGACCAATCAACATCCAGCATGCTAGAGGACTTACACAGAATTAGTTTAATATAGTTTCTATGGAGTATTTAAAGTCTCTGATAAATTTCTGTTAAGTATTTCTATGTAAACATGTTTTGTTTTTGGTGTAGGGTAAGAATTTTTCATATGGTTTATAACAGATGTACTCTTAAAATGCATTACTAAGACTTTCATTAAATTCAAAGTTTTCAGTTGATGGATTAGACCTGACACTGTTATGTGACTTTGTGCTAGGTAACTGATGTCTCTTACCTTCAATCTCCCAATTTTTAATATGGATGTAATGATACCTGCACTTCAGGAGTGTGTATGGACCATATTAAGCTATGTATACAAAGTGTCTGGTACTGTTTATTATCAGACTCTCAAGAAATATTCATTTGTATCCTCACTGTTTTATGTCCAAAAGGTTGTATGGAGAGGTAATCTGAAAAGTACTAGCACTCTGACTCCTTACTAGGTAAGGATGGAGGTGGAGCTTAGTTGCGAATTGTTACCAACTCAACTGGATGCCAATGCCATTCATGTACAGACTCTGATTACTTCCCTACCTCCATCAATATTTATATCATGTATTTTAAAAATGTGTTTAGTTAATGTATTGCCACAGTCGTAGGTATGAATTAGAAGGGAAAAATTATCCAAAACCGTATTTATTTTAGTGACACTGTGACCTGATAAAGGTAAATAGTTATTACAGATTGTGAAGTAACTGTGGGTAGAAAACTCACTTTCCGTTTTAATTTGCTTCTCTTAAAACACTTGAGTCTAGTATATTAGTAATTAACTAAGACAAAAAATGAAAAATAAAAAAGGTAAGTTAGAGGATTAATACAGTTCCAATATCCCAAAATGGATGTTCTGGAAGAGAAAGAAAAAAAAAAGAGGTGAAAAAACTATTGAAGAATCAATTCAAGAAAATTTCCCAGAAATGAAAAAATCGGATTTTTCAAACTGAATCTACTATTATAATTCCTAGGCACAATGGATGAAAAGAGACCATACCAAGTCACATTCACTATTCATATTGAAAATCCAACAGAATTCTCAATGGTAGGGACACAGCATTGAATAAAAACAGATAACGCCCATGTTGTCATGAAGCTTATCGTTTAGTGGTCAGGAGGACAAATAATAAACAACTTGCAATGTCATAATAACTGCTATGCCAAATAAGAAGAGTAGGAAGGATCAGGTGAGGGGAGTTTGTGGATTACTTTATACAGGGTAATCAGGGCAGTACTCACGAACACCCCATGCAAAGGGAATAGGAAGTGCAAAGGTTCTGAGGCAAGACTTTGCTTGAACATGTTGGAGGAAAGGGAAGGAGCTAACACAGCTACAGTATACTAAGAATAAGGAGAGTGGCTGGGGATGAGATCAGAAAAGTAGCCAAGGTGGGGTGGGGGACATGTCATGTAAAAGATTCTAGACATATCATTGTGAAATTTCAAAATTCTGATGAACAGTAATACTAAAAACAGGGATAAGAAAAAATGAGGTCACAGGTAAAGCTTAAAAAGTTACATTGCCATTTCATTCTAACTGTTTAAGTTATAATAATTCTAAACACCAGAAAATAATGAAAAAATGCCTTCATAATCTGAGGAAAAATAATTTCAAACCTAAAAGTTTTCACACACAGCCAAACTGTCAACAACCTGTGAAGGTAGATTAAGGTAGTTTAAGACATGCAAAATATATAAAAATTCACCACTCATGGACTCTTTCTCAGGAAGTAGAGGATGTGTTCCAGCAAAATAAGGTAATAAATCCAAGTAAGAAGATGACTTTTCATTGGTTTATGCCTAAGAAGTAAGATAGGACATAGGGGGTCCCAAACAGAATAGAGGAAGTCCCCAAGATGTAAGGGTAGATCCCAGGATGGATGTGCAGGAAGCTTAAAGAGCAACTTCCAAAGCAAGCAGACAGAAGAATCTAGGAGAGGTATTCCCCAAAAAGATGATATTGTGGGAAATACTTATTTTATTTATATTGACAAGAGAGTCGCACTCAGAGCTGGATATGAATTACTGGTACATAGAAAACTAAACAAAGGAATAAGATAATTATTGTGAGGAAAATAAAACAAAATTATAAGAAAATGCAAATATAGTACCATACACAATTCAGCTATGAATTCAGGTGATTTCAGAGCCAAAACGATGACCAATAAATTAACTGAAAATTATGATATAATTGTATTAGAAAGCTTTGGTAGGAGTGGCTGCAGTGGAAGGGGGTAAGAAATGGAGGGAGAAAAGAAAAGATGCAGAAAAAAAAAGAAAAGAAGAGACTATGAAAGTAGATGAACATAATGATAAGATAGAAATATATGGCAGGGCGCAGTGGCTCATGTCTGTAATCCCAGCACTTTGGGAGGCTGAGGCGGGGGGATCACAAGGTCAGGAGTTAGAGACCAGCCTGGCCGATATGGTGAAACCCTGTCTCTACTAAAAATACAAAAAAAAAAAGAAAAAAAAAGTTAGCCAGGTGTTGTGATGCATTCCTGTAATCCCAGCTACTCGGGAGGCTGAGGCAGGAGAACTGTTTGAACCCGGGAAGTGGAGGTTGCAATGAGCTGAGATCATGCCACTGCACTCCAGCCTGGATGACAGAGCGAGACTCCATATTAAAAATTAAATAATTAATTAATTAAATAAAAAAATGAAAGAAATATATGAGAATTTAAGATAAAATAAAAGGGGTAGTTTATTTCAGTAGGAAAACAGAATTAATTAACCAGCCTGGGCAACAAGAGCGAAACTCAGTCTCAAAAAAAAAAAAATACTAAGGAGTAGTTATATCTAGATAACAAAATCATATGTGATTTTTATTTTCTATAACTTTCTGTATTTTTCAAATTCTCTACAATTAACTTTTCTTACTTTTACACTAATACAGTTATACAATTAATGCTTTTAAACTATCTCTTCAAGTTTAAAGGATAGGTTTAATCATGTAAATATTTTGTCACTGAGGAAATTTTAACTGGGGCTCATAGACTTTCTGAAATTATACGTAAAATGTTGTATTAGATGGGAAGGAATCCACAGTCTTGTTAGAGTCTTGACGACATCCATGACAAATCAATGAAAGATAAAATTAAAAAGAATAAAAACACCCTAAAAATATCCAGTTCATTTATAAAAACTACTCAAGTTTTACTTATGCTATGAATAGTCTCAAATTTATCTCCCTGGGCCCAAAGAGAAACTGCTAGCTGGCTTGTTCAGAGGGTACTCAAATTAATTCATCAAGGTCCTCCAAAAATCAAAGTACTTTCTTCTTTAGATAGGTTTTACTAGCATTAAAACACATATGACAAGTTGTAAAATCAAAATGGATGAAAAGAGCTGTGTGTCTAACACCCACCAACAGCTCACAATGCCTAATGATTAGAGTAGCTATTCATATTGAGAGCTATTCATGTTTTTTGTTTTTACATCATTTGTCATAATAATCAGAAATGAATGATTTCCACTTCATCGTACCTAGAAACATTGAATAATATTGGTTAGTAAGTGACTGAGTCCACTTTTGGCTTTAAAACATGTACAAATAGCTATCTCATTATATGTAAACAGGAAAGACTCCTCTGGTTGTTATACTGTTTGAAGTATTAGGACTTCTTTAATTCTGTAATTTTTTTTAATAACATTAGGAGAAAACTATTTTTCAATATAAACAAGGCAAGTGAATACAGCACATAAAATACACATACACAATTTGAAGGAAATGATTTTGACAAAGTTTAAAGGTGTATTATACCTTGGTATAAAAACTAAAACTTGATAAGGACTAATTTGGCAATTCATTAAATTATACTTTACTGGGTGTATATATTGCATGGCACTGATTTTTAAATAACTGAATAGTTATTAAAATCTTGGTATTATTTCAAAGTAGCATGTAACTAGATTTAATCATCAGATATTTCCAGGGAAAAATTATGTTTCTGTTCTTTAAGGTGTATTTTTAAATTAACATTCATTTCTCAAGGACATTGATTTGAAAGAGCTATTTCACTTCCCGTTAGTGCAAGGAAAAAGGATACCATTTAAACTTTGGAAGGGCACAGAAAAAAAATAAACAAATCTGCTGAACATAATTTCCTCTTTATTGCTTTTGAAAAGTTATGAAATCAAATCTATTATTTAATTACATTGGATCAAGAAACAGGAAGAAAAAGACGCATTTAAGTCACAACACTCCTAAAAGAATAAATTACTATACTTCCTTTGGGAAGAAAAGTGTTTTAATATGTGGATGGGTATTGTCCAAACATTTCAAATCTACTTTGCTGAGGTGGTACGTGTGATAGGCTTTAAACAAAAAATCAAAACAAAATAGCAAAATGTCAAAATTGAAGGAATTAAAAAAACTGCTAGGATTGATTTCAGTATTTCTGTACTATTAAAGAATTTAATTTTTGCTCTCAAATCTGTTTCCATCACCTAACTTTAAAAAAATACAACTCCTGGGCCGGGCATGTAATCCAGCAATTTGAGAGGCTAAGGCTGGTGGATCACTCGAGGTCAAGAGTTCGAGACCAGCCAGGCCAACACGGTGAAACCCTGTCTCTACTAAAAATACAAAATTTAGCTGGGCGTGGTGTTGGGCTCCTGTATTCCCAGCTACTTGGGAGGCTAAGGCAGGATAATCGCTTGAACCTGGGAGGTGGAGGTTCCACTGCAGTGAGCCGAGATTGCACCACTGCACTCCAGCCTAGGCAACTAAGAGAGACTATGTCTCAAAAAAAGAAAAAAACAAAAACAAAAAACAAACAAAAAAAACCCTCTGACCTAATCACAGCAAAAAAAAAAAATTTTGCTAGATAAATAGGGTTTATCTTTGCTATGCTTGAATAAAATGCACAAGATGTTCCAGATTAGGACAACTGTTATACAAATAAGAATAAAGGCTTTCAGCTTTTTAAACTGGCAACAGGATTTTGCAGTTGGTCAGACTCTGTCAGGGGACTTATGGGATGAACAGTGATCACACAGTCACTGCCCTTATACCATCTGCAGCAGGGTTTGACAAACTTTTAATATAAAGGACCAAATAATAAATATCATCAGCTTTTTAGGCCATATGCTGTTTCATCTATTCAACCCCAAGGTTGTGGCATGAAATCAACCATAAACAATACATAAGTGAATGAGCATGGCTGTGTTCTGACAAAACTCTATTTACGAAAATAAGCAAAGGATGCCGTATTTGGCCCATGGGGCTGTAGTTTGCTGACCCCTGGTCTACTGTAGTGTGGGGAAAATATGAAAATTATATAGTGGGAGGAAAAATGCTATACTATAATGTAAAACAAAAACGAGCAGTACTGAACATGAACTTAGACTTTATTGCAATCTACATTCGTACATGCAGATTAAGAATAGTCACAATAAGAAATAGTTGTTTGAAAGTTTTGACACAACTGTATGAAGTATTGTTAAGACAGCATTCGGAAATGTTGACAGTTAATTGCAAATTATATACTTGCAAAGTCCTGTTTTCTCCTAATGCTTTCACCATTACCAACACAGAGTGGCTTTTCAAAAACAAAAACAAACAAAAAAGCTTTTCAAAGAGAAATTCATACTCTTGAACAACACATTAAATATTCTGTTTTTACTGTTCTTATTTGCTCTCAAATAATAATACTAATTACCAATAATCCTGTTGAATAACAGAGAAGCCCCACAACTTTAACATGTGTAATTAATTAAATATATTGAGGTTGATACGGAAATTCAGACAACAAACCCACAATATGTCACAAGTTTTTAACTTGTTAGTTTTAAACTGAATATTCTGTTTCCTTCTCTTGAGAGATTTGTCCCTCCCTTATATGTGAGGCCAAGTAATTGGACCCCAAGCTCTCAATGAGCAATTTATTTTTTCCATTTCAAAATCTTAGCAAACAAATCTCACCAGAGAACTGGTGGCTACTTTCTATCTTGTCCTAGAGAAGCAAGACTAAAGTGAGCTTTAGTTTTCAATTCGTTTTCATTCATTTACTTAACCATACTTACTGAGTGCCCACTACACACTAAACACTGTGCTAGGAGCTAGGGTGCCATCGTGATAAAAACAGCAATATCCCTAGCTTCAAGGGGCTTCCATTACGTTAGGGAATAAATAAATAAATAAATGAAATATTTACAAGTCATAATAAGTAAAATAAAAAACTCAGTTCACTGAAACTGCACTTAAAGGCAGGGGAGACACCTACATTAGACAATGATGTCAAGGAATGCCTTTCTAAGTGGGTGACCTTTTAGCTGAGACTTAAAATCCAACGGATTAAAGGGCTCTGGTTATTCAAAGGGCATTCACTGGAGAGAGAGTGGTGGTGAGTAGCTACCAGGTACAGGGAAGAACATGTCCAAAGACTTCTGGACAGCAAATAACTTGGTCTATATGAGAAACTGAGAGATGACAATGGTGAAAGAGAAATAAGAATGAACAAGTGAGGACACAGAAAAAGGCAGTTGCCAACTGATGCAGGGCAGTGTTGGCTATTTGTTTATAAACCTTCAAAATTAATGAATAATAAATGCCAAATTTTCCAAATCAGAAAAATTGCTTTTGAAACAGAAATTTCCAGGAGCAGCTGAAAATGCAAAGAAAAAACATGCCATTTTTCTTACCTTCCACCTTCTTTTTCTTCTTTAACATCTAAACATTTCTTCCTCACTAGTCAGTAGTCCTAGGTACAGGTAAAATTAAGTGTCTCCTACCAATAGGATATTGTAAAGATATCTGTATATTCTCAGGACTCAGTAATTTTTCTGGGTTCCAATGTCCTCATTTCAAATATTGGATAATGGCTACTCCTTCTTAGGGTTATGAGATGATTATGGGCTTATCCTACAAAGTATAAAGATACCATGGTACGCAGGCCTCCATCAAGGGTAAAACAAAGTGAAGCATAAGTGTGCAGCACGTCTTCCAGAAGTGTCAACTATATTAGAGACAGTAAATAAAGTATCATTTTTATGTTAAAAAATACAGATACAGTATGGCATAGAATAAAAAACTTGAATTTAATATTATGAAAGAAAGCTTTTTAAAAAACATCAAACTTGTTTAAAAATCCATTCAGTCTGGCTGGGCGTGGTGGCTCACACCTATAATCCCAGCACTTTGGGAGGCCGAGGCAGGCTGATCATCTGAGGTCAGGAATTTGAGACCAGCCTGGCCAACATGGTGAAATCCTGTCTCTACTAAAAATAAAAAAATTAGCTGGGCATTTTGGCAGGCACCTGTAATCCCAGCTACTTGGGAGGCTGAGGCAGGAGAATTGCTTGAGCCTGAGAGGCAGAGGTCGCAGTGAGCCGACATCATGGCATTGCACTCCAGCCTGAGGCACAAGAGGGAGACTTCGTCTCAAAACAAAATCCATTCAGTCTAATCCCTCCTTATAGTGGTAAATGCATACCTAGAACATGATATGGTTGCTTACTATATGTCTGGAATAGGGCAGATACTCATATTTGGTATCATAAGGGAAAATTAGTTGTTGTTTTTTTTAATTATACTTTAAGTTTTAGGGTACATGTGCACAACGTGCTGGAGAGGATGTGGAGAAATAGGAACACTTTTACACTGTTGGTGGAACTGTAAACTAGTTAACCATTGTGGAAGTCAGTGTGGCGATTCCTCAGGGATCTAGAACTAGAAATACCATTTGACCCAGCAATCCCATTACTGGGTATATACCCAAAGGATTATAAATCATGCTGCTATAAAGACACATGCACATGTATGTTTACTGCAGCACTATTCACAATAGCAGACTTGGAACCAAGCCAAATGTCCAACAATGATAGAATGGATTAAGAAAATGTGGAAAATTAGTTTTTAATGCTTAAAAAAACTGCTAGAAGCTAAGTTATATACCTATAACTATTTATTTTATTAAAAAATTACCCTTTCTCAACATTTTGTTCAAAGAAGGATTTTTACAAAACGGCAGTGTCCTCCCTTACTAAATATTTAAAGCAATATAGCATACATGAAAAAAGAATCTTTTCTGTTTCATTGGTTATTTGAACTATCCCATAAGAAGTACACTTTTCTGGGAGCCTTGTATCTTACATACACACATACACACACACACACACACACACACACACGCACACACACAAACACCAAAACCAAGGCAAATTACAAAAAGAGTATAAAATCTTTAACTTAATTAACACCTATTTAATTTTGTTTTGTTCTCCATGAAAATGAGAGAAATGACAAATGCACACAAATAGAAATAAACGGTCTTATTTATTTTTCCAACCTTTATTTTAGTGTCAGGGATATATGTACAGGTTTGTTACATGGGTGAGTTGTGTGTCACTGAGGTTTGGTGTATGAATGATCCAGTCACCCAAGTAGTGAGCATGGTACCTGAGATAATGTTAGTTTTAACACAGTCCTTTTCCTCCTCAGGCAAAATTCCCACAGGGAGCAATGATGAGACTTACACCTAAGTTAAAAATCCCTTCATGACATAAATTCTGAACATTTATTCTACACGCAGACACAATATTAGATGCTTTTTAGAATTGGAAATGAAGAACAAAAAGAGGTGAAAACATGGAAAGCAAAAATGTCCCAGCTTGCCTTCAAGGAGCTTATTCTACTATGGAAGACTATACACATATTAAAGGCTGAAAAAAAAGGAAAGAAATTCACAAATAAATATGATCTGATTATAGCTATGCACCATTACTATTTGATGAAACCACATTAATTCAGCTTTCACTAATTTCAAATTTATAATTGTTGGGGCATGGTAGAGATTGAAATTCAGCTTTTACTCACTATGAATAAAACTAAATGAACTGAAGCTACAAACAACTCAGGGCTTTCAAGAACCCCTTACTGCCTTTCTAAAAATGAGAAACTCAGAAATGTACACCATATTAACAGAATTTATTAATTTCAGGTATGTAAGTCAAGAAAAATACATTTTTCCTATACTTTCATTTGTAACAAAGTGGGCTGAATTATTTATTCAAATTAAGCTACTACAGTTCCCTCCCATTTACCTAAACATCTAAAATGCTAATGCTGCTAATAAAATAGCAGTAGTAGTAGAGGCAGTGCAGTGTTAATGCTAATGGTAGTGTCCATTCATTGATTTCTTAAGCCTCTGTGCCAATCTCTATTATCATTTCCAACCTCGCCCCTATGCACTTTTCACTGCAGGGCTGAGTTCTCTACACAAATCCTGCTTTGTATGCCTTTGAATCCTTTATCAGGTTGGAATAATCTTTCCAATTTTGTCTAGCTAACTCCTATTCAACCTTTGAAACTCAGCTCAGGTTTCATATCCTCGGGGAAACCCCTAATCCCCTGGTTCTCAGGGTATCTACAGCACTAGGGAATAGGTGATAGCACTGTAATGTTAGGCTAGATCTCCTTTTCTACCTCCACTACTTATCTGTAAATCACTTGTAGTCAGGAATCACATCTTACCTTATTATGCATCCAAACAGCTATCATTAGAAGAGACAGTCAATATATTACTTATTGAATGAATGAGTCAGGCACTATACCAGGAATTTAATTATGGTAAAACAAATACTTTAAAATTTTACTGCTAAAAATAGCTTGAGAGATGGAATATAACATGATCAAGGTCTCATGGTTACTGGGTGATGGAATCAGAAATAAATCCAGGCCTGCTGGGTTTCAGGCCAGGTGACCCTACGCTTTCAACTCAAAGTGTTATCTTAGATTCTTAGGTCTTAGATTCTTGGATGGGATCTCTTCCAGTTTTAGAATAAAGCCACTTCTCTCTGGCCAACTGAGGAGTCAATTTTAAGCATGCAAACTGGGATTTCAGTTAAAAAATAAAAATTATTTTAGTGTTACAAATTGTCAGTGAAGGACTTTCTCAAAGCTTTAATCATATAAATAGTTTGACATCTCTAAGGTAGCAGTTCTCAATTTCATATTGTGGATTATTTCACGAGAGGAAAAAAGAGTGACCAACTCCATCTATACCCACTATGTCACTGAAAAGAAACCTCATCATGACTCATGGGAAGAATGGCATCTGAAAAAATACTTAAGAAATGTCACAAGTAAATTATTAATCCATGCCATAAAACAGACTACAGATACTGTCATATTATAAACCTTAGAATTTCAAGAAACCAGCTGGAAGACCACCCAGAGAATCCTAGAAGACCATCAGTGGTCTATGGGGACCATACTTTGAGAACTACCGTTATAAGAAATGAAACTGCTTCCTCCTCAGGAACTTCATCTTTTTGTTGGGGGAACACACTGTCCTTCAAGCCAAAAACATCAAAGTATTAAGACCTCTAAATTCTTCTAAAATACTGTCATAACCCCAAACTACCTTGTTCATGGGATGTAGTCATGTAGTTGTAAATGCAGATCTGCTTATCTATTGTTGGTGTATAGGAATGCTTGTGATTTTTGCACATTGATTTTCTATCCTGAGACTGTGGAAGTTGCTTATCAGCTTAAGGAGTTTTGGGGCTAAGACACTGGGGTTTTCTAAATACAGAATCATGTCATCTGCAAACAGAGACAATATGACTTCCTCTCTTCCTATTTGAATATCCTTTTTTCTTTCTCTTGCCTGATTGCCCTGGCCAGAGCTTCCAATATTTTCACATGTGCTTACTGGTCATTCACATATATTCTTTTATAAAGTGTCTATACAAGTTTTTTTACCTGTTTATCATTGGATTCTTTGTCACATTATTACTGATTAATAAAGAGTACTGTATATATTCTAAAGGCAAATTCTTTGTCAGATATATGCATCACAAATATTTTTTGCCTGTAAGCTGCCTTTTCATTTTCTTGACAGTATCTTTCAGAGTGCAAGTTTTTTAATGTTGGTGAAGTTCAATGTATCACTTTTTCTTTTGTTGTTCTTCATGCTTTCTATGTTCTATCTAAGAAGTCTGTCTAACTGAGGTCATGATATTTGGTGAAAGGGGCATCCTTGACTTGTTCTCATTCTTAAGGTGAAGGTTTTCTCCTACACATTTTTCTAGAAGTTTAATAATTTTAGCTATTTTAATATTTGCACATGGCACGAAGAAAGGATTGAGATTGTTTTTCCACATGGATACCCAGTTGCTTCAGCACCATTTGTTATAAATAACCTTTCCCCATTAAATTATCTAACCTGTCAAACTGCAGAAATTCAACTCAACATATGCTTGTCTTTATATCTGCATTTCTTATTCTGTTCCATTGATGTATATGTATGTCTATCTTTATGTCATTACCACACTGCTTGTTTTTTTTTGTTTGTTTGTTTGTTTTGAGATGGAGTCTTACTCTGCTGCCCAGGCTGGAGTGCAGTGGCACGATCTCAGCTCACTGCAACCTCCGCCTGCCAGATTCAAGTGATAATCTCACCTCAGCCTTCCAAGCAGCTGGGACCACAGCTGTACACCACCACGCCAGGCTAATATTTGTATTTTTAGTAGAGAGGAAGTTTCACCATGTTGGCCAGGCTGGTCTCAAACTCCTGACCTCAAGTAATCCACCCACCTCGGCCTCCTAAAGTGCTGGGATTACAGGCGTGAGCCACCGCTCTCAGCCCATACTGCTTTACTATAGGTTTACAGTGAGTTTTAAAACAAACATCTAACTGTTCTTTTCTAAAAGTGTTTTGACTTTCTAAGTCCTTTGCATTTCCACATTAATTTTAGAATTAGCTGTCAATATTTAGAAAACAGCCTGCTGGCCTTTTAATAGAGGCTGCAATGAATCTGTAGAACAATTTGGGGAAAAATGATGCCCAACAATATTGAGCTTTCTAATTCCTGAAAAATTACTCCTCTCAATATAGTTAAGGCTTCTTAAACTTCATTTAGCAATGTTTTATAATTTTTTGTGTACAGGTATTATATACAATTTGTTAAATTTACCCATAGATACCTTATGTTTTTGGTACTAAATTCTGATGTCACTGCCGGTATATAAAAATACAATTACAATTGAATTTTGTCGATTAACATTGTATCTTTGACCTTGCTAAATTCATTTATTAATTCTAGAAAAACTTCTTTGGTAAATTGTATAGGATTTTCTAGCTATATGATTATGTTTCCTGCAACTAAAGTCAGTTTTACTTTTTTCTTTTTATTTGCTATGGCTTTTTTCTTATTGTTCCTTATGCAATGTGTAGGGCATCTGATACAAAATGGTCAAGATACTTGGTGAAAGGAGCATCCTTGCCTTGTTCTCATTCTTAAGGTGAAGGCATTCAGTCTTGAGCTTTACTAAGTAGGTTTGTATTGGTAGAGGTACTGGTATGGCAATCCTGCAACCATTTCTTATGTATTAGAGCACTGAACAAATAAGTAAGAATATTAGGGTTGTTGGTAATCAAGTTCTTAGTATGCAAGAAAGGAGAATAACATACAAAATAAGCAAGAATTGGACTGTGGGAAAAGTGATGGGGAAACAGGAATTAAAGATGGCCCATACAAACAACTATTTTAAGGAATTTTGCTATTAAGGGTAGCAGCTATAGAAAGAAGGTTTTTAAAAAAGGAGTTTTCAGATGGGAGAAATAACAGCATGTCTTTATTCTGATAAGAATAATCTATTTTTAATTTTTTTAAGGAAAATCCATACTATTTTCCATATGGCTGTACTAATTTATATTCCCACCACTAGTGTGCAAAGGTTCTCTTTTCTCCACATCCTCTCAAACACTTCATATCTGTCATCTTTTTGACGACAGCCATTCTAACATATGCAAAGTCATATCTCATTGTGGTTTTAATTTGCATTTCTCTGATGATTTGTGATGTTCAGTAATTTTTCATATATGTGTTGGCCATTTCTATGTCTTATTTTGAGATATGTCTATATACAGTCTTTGCCCATTTTTTTTTTTACACTGTCCTAATATCAAATCTTTATTCCATTAACAATCAAACTTTTACATCATCGCCAAGGCTTTTTGTTCACTTAAGATTTGGTAGTCTTTGGACTAGACTCTGGAATAGACAAAGAGCATCAGTGGAAAAATGCAAAATCCAAATAAAGTTTGGATTTTAGTTAATAGTAAAGTGTATTATTTTCTTACTATTGAGTTCCTTATAGATTCTGAATATTAATCCCTTATCAGATATATGGCTTGCGAATATTTTCTCTCATTTTGTAAGTTGTCTCTCTACTCTTTTTTTTTTTTTTTTTTTTTTTTTGGCAGAGGCTTTTTAGTTTGATGTAATCCCATTCATCTATTTTCACTTCTGTTGCCTATGCTTTTGGGTTCATATCCAAAAAATCATTGCCCAGATCAATGTCATGGAGCTTTCCTCCTGTGTTTTCTTCTAGTAGTTTTACAGTTTCAGATCTCACATTTAACTCTTTAATCCATTTTGAGTTGATTTTTGCATATGAAATAAGAGTCTAATTTCATTCTTTTATATGTGAATATCCAGTTGTCTCAACACCATTTAAAACAGAACTACCATATGATCCATCAATCTCATTATTGGGTACATATTCAAAAGAAGTAAACTTAGTATGTTTAAGAGGTAGCATTACTCCTATGTTCACTGCAGTATTATTCACAATAGCCAAGATGGAATCAACCTAGGAGTCCATCAGTGGGTAAACGGATAAAGAAAATGTGCTATATACAATGGATTGTTATTCAGCCTTAAAAAGGTAGGAAGTTCTGTCATTTTTGACAACATGGATGAATCTAGAGGATATTATGTTAAGTGAAATAAGCCAGGCATGGAAAGACAAATGCCACATGATCTCATATGTGGAATCTAAAACGTTTGACCTCACGGAAGTAGAGAGTAGAATGATGGTTACCAGGAGCTGAGGGGGAGGGAGGGGTTATAGAAGGGTTGGGGAGGTTTTGGCCAAAGGATACAAAACTTCAGTTACACAGGAAAACATACAAGAGAACTGTACAGCATAGTGACTATAGTTAATAACAAATGTATTCTCGCAAATTGCTAAGAGTGCATATGTCTTCTCACTACAAAAAAATTAATATGTGAAGTAATACATATATTAATTAGCTCAATTTAGCCCTTCCACAATGTACACGTGTTTCCAAACATAGTGTACATGACAAATATATACAATTGTTACTTGTCAATTAAAACAATTTTTTAAAAAATCAGCTTAGAAAGAAAATGAGAAGAAAAGAAGGATGCCAAGAGTTCAGCCACCGATCTGCTTCCAACCCTGAGACTTCTGGTGCTGGATCTCATTTATGTGGATCCTTTAAAAGATAACCTTCATTATTCAGGGATGCTCCAAGGGGCCTCTGTCCCACACAATCAGCCTTACTCAAACAGTCAACACAAGTTACACTCATTCACAGGGATAAAAACAGGAAGTTAGGTCTACATGTGACAGCATGAGTCACTTCTCCTTTCCACAACTCAACTTTTACCTTCACAAAATAAGGGGTATGGATTTTCTAGGTCCCCTTTTATTTTCCTAAGTTCTTGTATCAAATGAAACTATAATGACATTTCACGACTTGCCTGCCACTAATTTTGCTGCCCGCTGGCAACCAAACTCACAGTTGCGCCAACTCAGAGTTTAAGTGACTGTAAGAGCAGGGCCTTGGTTAAAGTAGTCTTTGAGTATACACAAGTAGCTTCATTGTTTATAGCTTAACTCAGAAAGAAAACGAAAACAAACAAGCAAAAAACCCCTTCACTTTTTACTATATTTACCTCCTGATGGAATTATTTCTACCCAATTCTAATCCTTATAAAATAAGGACAATATTGATAATATACTCTTAAAGCAGCCCCTTACAATTAAAATACAGATCAATTTGCATAATAGTTACATAATAATATGGAAAAATTCATGTTATGTATCCATCAATAAAATAAGAACCAAAAGAATAACCACAATAAGACTAATTACTTGACAGTAAGATAAATATTTGGTACCCTCTTTTTAAGCAGCAGAATGTTCTGGGGAAAATGAAATCATATATGAAACCCCTTACCATGAACAGGTAAAACAGAGCTCCTTTAATTCAAGTACTCCAAGTATGGCAAGTCTAGGATTCCACCCACAAGGACATCATTATCTCCTGAGTAAAATCTCCTGAAGTACTTCTATAAAAGACAGTTTGAAAGCCACTGCAGCAGATTATCTAGGTAAGCTATAGCTTAAGAAACAGGATACTCAGAGCCACCTTGCCAGTCAGTCCACACACATGGTTTAGCAAACACTGCTTTTTCTGCAGTGTGTGTGTGTGTGTGTGTGTGTGTGTGTGTAAAAAGAAGATACTTCCATTTGAAATACCTATAAACCACAAAATCATCTGGGATCATGGACATTTTCCCAAGAATATTTGCATAACACAATTAACACAAAATAACACAAGAAGTTAATACAGAAGCATTGAAAGGCAAAGAAAAAAAAAACCCATAGTTTGGTTTTCCATTTAGGAAATTTTCATGGGGGCGGGCAGGGAAAGAGAGGGAGGCACAATAATCATTTGAACCTATAAATTAAATTACAATTACTAAAATGTTCTTGGTCTCCACTGCAGTATTCAGTAGAAAATAAACCATGCCACATATATTTGATATTAATTTTGTTTTAAAGCCTCACGGAAGACAGTTTTCTGATTTTGCATGTTGATAATACAAGGTCAATGAGTAGGCATGTTACATTTCAAAAGCTACTTTCTCACATTCCCCAGTGTTCAAATACTTAGAAACTTGATGTTAAGTTTATATATTGGCTAATTATTCTCCGAATAATCTAGTAAAGAGTAGAAATGTAATAATGCAGGAGAGAAAAGTGCTGATGTCCTTGTGTGTATAAGAGGGTATGGGATTTTTTTTTTTTTTTTTTTTTTTTGAGATGGAGTCTCGCTCTGTAGCCCAGGCTGGAGTGCAGTGGCATGATCTCGACTCACTGCAAGCTCCGCCTCCCAGGTTCATGCCATTCTCCTGACTCAGCCTCCTGAGTAGCTGGGACTACAGGGGCCTGCCGCCATGCCCAGCTAATTTTTTGCATTTTTAATAGAGATGGAGTTTTGCTGTGTTAGTCAGGATAGGATGGTCTCGAACTCCTGACCTCGTGATCCACCCGCCTCGGCCTCCCAAAGTGCTGGGATTACAGGCGTGAGCCACTGCGCCCAGCCTGAGGGTATGGGAGTTTAAGAACAAGTGGAGAGGTTGGGGAATAGACAGTTAAGCTACAATATGGGGAGGGAAGACAGGTATGTGGGCATAAGTACAGGAAAAGAGCAGATGAAGTAGAAACATATGAAAGGCCTGTTATATTTCCTCATACTTCCTTAGAGAGGTAGGAAGCACAGCTATAAGCTGAGAATCAGGATAGGAAATAACTTGTTAGAAATTCAAAGAAAAAGAAAAAGGTATAACACATCATCCAGGATACTGGGAGAGTGAAATAAATAGGGAAAAATTTATGTATAATACATATTTATTAAATATATATTTATCAAATGTATGTATGTATATATATTTATTAAATATATGTATTTATACATATATCACAGGACAGTATTAACAACTCATTAAAACTCTAAAGTTAGTGGTCAGGAATTACTGTAAGCATGTTGTATTTATCTCTAGCAATATTCAGCTGCATTGGTACAGTTTAAAAGCTGCTAAAGAGCAGAATTTAACCAGTGTTGAGTATTGCCAGCTGAATAAGACAAATGAAATGAGGCCAAGGGTACTAAGTACATATGCAAAGGAGTAATTATAACTATTGAGCATAAACCTTTAAATTAGGTGACAGACAATGGGAGGTGGTGATTGGAGAGTAGAATACTCTAAATTGAAGTTACACAGGAGTTGCAGTCATTGTAAACAACAAGGTCTAGGGTACAATCATGGAATTAATGGCTGAAATAAATTGGAGGACAGTGCCATTGGAGAGAAAATGAAAAACTGAAAGTCCAGGATACTAGAAGGATCATGCACATGGCTACTGAAATGATCAAGAATTGTAACAGGAGTATTATAGACAAAAGCACAATGAGCCAGACAATAAAATCTTTTGAGAAATCAGAGGGAATCACCTAGGTATTTGGCAGTATTGTCTGATAGAATGATATATTTAGTTACAAGGAGGTGCACAAAAAGCTCTTTTGAAGAGAGTCGGTGATAGAAGATTCGGAATATATTTTCTGAAATGGGATAATTAACTGGTGGAAAGACTATGTCATTAAGTAGTTATGAGTTTTTAAAAAGCCCATTTAAAAATGAGATTGCTGTAATTTATTTATGTTGTGATATTCATTCTGAAATTTAAATTAAAATTAAAGAAAAGCATGAAACTTGTTTATCAGGTGACAAGAGCTAAGGACTGTTGCAGATACATAGCTATACCAAGTTACATTGAAAGGTTTTATAGGAATGTGCTAAATACAATTTCCAGATTATGGCATGACTACCTTTCAGTAGCTTTGCAAAAAATCCAGTCATACAAACAGTAGCATTTTGT
This sequence comes from Homo sapiens, assembly GCF_000001405.40. Classification (NCBI taxonomy): domain Eukaryota; kingdom Metazoa; phylum Chordata; class Mammalia; order Primates; family Hominidae; genus Homo; species Homo sapiens. The sequence continues at coordinate 45,052,523 of NC_000006.12, forward strand.
ATTGACTGCGTTTCTCAGTGGATGACTGTCAATGTAATTAGACACCTTTGACTCAGACACTCTTATTTAGCTAAATTTAAAGCAATAACAAAACAAAACCTCTACATAAATACGGTTCTTAGAAAATGCCCCATTATTACCAACAGACATTACCTTAGTCCTAAAGTCATGAGAAATAAATCCATAGACTACACCTTACCCTAAACTCCTGTACTGGACACTACACCAGAGGCTGGGAATGCAAAGATGACTAAAATGTGGTCCTTACCTTAGGTAGATCATAGTTTAATGGGCAAGACAGACCAGAAAAGGAGGGGTGAGTAGAAGAGTATGAAAGAGGATAAGGACATTTCAGATAGAACAGGCAATGCAGAAGGGGGTAAAAAGGTATGTGTGATATGAGAGTGAATAGAGTGAGAGAGGAAAAAGGAAGAGGGAGAAGAGAGAGGAAGACAGGTAGAGAGAAGGGAGGTAAAAAGGGAGGGAGGAGAGTTGAGAATAATTTCTTGTTTTTGGTGGTTTTGTTTTTAGAGACAGAGTCTTACTCTGATGCCCAGGCTAGAGTGCAGTGGCACAATCATAGCTCACTGCAGCCACAAACACCTGAGCTCAAGCGATCCTCCTGCCTAGGCCTTCTTAGTAGCTGGGACTATAGGCATGTGCCACTGGGCCCAGCTTTTTTGTTTTGTTTTGCCTTTTTTTTTTTGTGGTATAGATGGGGTCTCACAATGTTGCCCAGGCTGGTCTCCAACTCCCAGCCTCAAGAGATTCTCCTACCTGTTCTCAAGGGCATTGTCGAAAACAACAGCAATTGGTGGCAAGTAATCAGGAATACCAAGTGTGGCTAACAGAATAGCAACCAAAAATTTAAAATGGAAATCTGCAGAAGATACCTGATGGGGTTCAAGAAATACTACCCCAAAATATGGCACTTCAGCATTTGAGAAAACAGTATGGTGAGGTGCAAGAAACACAACTCCAAAATAAGGCATCTTGAAAATTGAGAAAATAGCAGAGGCAGAAAGTCCACTCTCATTTCTCCTTCACCCTTCATCCCTAAAGCAGGCTATAAAACCTAAAAGGGTCACTCTGATGGCCGGGTGCAGTGGTTCATGCCTGTAATCCCAGCACTTTGGGAGGCCGAAGCAGGCGGATCACCAGGTCAGGAGATCAAGACCATCCTGTCTAACACGGTGAAACCCCATCTACTAAAAATACAAAAAAAAAAAAAAAAAAAAAAAAATTAGCCGGGCGTGGTGATGGGCGCCTGTACTCCCAGCTCCTCGGGAGGCTGAGGCAGTAGAATGGCATGAACCCAGGAGGCAGAGCTTGCAGTGAGCTGAGGTCACGCCACTGCACTCCAGCCTGGGCAACAGAGCAAGACTCCGTCTCAAAAAAAAAAAAAAAAAAAGTCACTCTGACTTTCTCCCTCCCTTCTCCCCTGAAGACCATCAGGTGACAGGTGAGCTCGCCTATACCCAGAGAGAGGGAATGAAGGCACTGAAATGCCAAGAAAAATCTGAACAAACAGGACTTGCTAAGTTCCCTTCAGTTTATGTGTCACATAAAATTTATATTAAATAAATTTGCATGCCTTTCTATTGTTAATCTGTCTTTTGTTATAGGGGTCTCAGTCATGAACCTTGCAATGACTGAGAAATCTTCTCCCCCCTGTAAGCTGTAGTAGGAAGGTCTCTCTTACCTTCTCCTACCCTTCTCCCCTGAAGCAGGCCACAAAAGAATTCTCTGGCCTTTCTCTGAAGTAGGTCTTAAGGCCCTCATGTACCCCACACACAGAGGCAAGGAATGTCGCACAGGGATACAGAGAAGACTGAACAAAAAGGTCTTGCTGAAATCTCTCCAGTTTATTACTATTAGATCATATCTCTCTTTATCCAATCAGACTTCTGCACAAATGTCCACTCTTCATTTAATGTAGCATAAAAATAGTTTTTCCAGTTTCTTTAGGTTTTAATTTCTGAAGGCTCCTGTGTCATGTAAAATTTATATGAAATAAATGTGTATGCTTTTCCTTTGTTAGTCTATCTTTTAATACAAATATCTCAGCCATGAACCTTGCAATAAGTGAGGAAAAGATAAATCTTTTCTGCCACTATGTAGCCATTGGGGGCTTTGAAAAGTTCCAATATATTCCTGAGAATCTGAACAGATTACACATGCACCAGGTTACATGCATGCTTAGGAAAGACCAGAAAAGTCCTCAGCTGCCTACTTATCAATTGTAGACCACGAGATCCTGTACACCCTGAGCAGACTATGAAGTGAAACCACAGGCAGACTTGTAAACTGCCTGAACTTTGAATGTGTGCCCTAATATACATACAGATTTCTCAGCAAAAGTGGAAGCCTTATGGGTTCAAAATGTTTGAACCCATAAGAAAACTTTTAATCACTGGCTGACCATTAAAACTTGCTGCCCCAGGGGTAATCACTAAAAAGCCATGTTTAAGCATAATAGCAACTATTAAATTAAAAAAAATTATTAAATTAAATTTAGAAAAAAACTTGAGCAGAGACTTCAGTGGTTATATACAGAAAGGCAGACAGATTTTATGGAATTAGTAATTTCACTAAATAAACAAGAATATGAGAAACAACATCCCTAGAGGTGACAGAGATTCTGAGAGTTGCTAAAATATATTATCTAAAGGTTCCATGCTCATGGAGGGTAGAATCAGTATTGTGAAAATGACCATACTGCCAAAAGCAATCTACTAATTCAATGCAATTCCCATCAAAATACCATCATCATTCTTCACAGAACTAGAAAAAACAATCCTAAATTTCATATGGAACCAAAAAGAAGGCTGCATAGACAAAGGGAGACTAAGCAAAATGAACAAATCTGGTGGCAACACAGTACCCAACTTCAAATTATACTATTAATACATGGCTGTATTCACCAAAACAGCAGGGTACTGGTATAAAAATGGCACATAGACCCATGCAATAGCATAGAGAGCCCAGAAATAAAGCCAAATACAGCCAACTGATCTTCGACAAAACAAACAAAAACATAAAGTGGGGAAAGGACACCCTATTCAACAAATGGTGCTGGGATAATTGGCAAGCTACACGTAGAAGAATGAAACTGGATCCTTATCTCTTACCTTATACAAAAATCAACTCAAGATGGATCAAAGACTTAAATCTAAGACCTGAAACCATAAAGATTCTAGAGGATAACCTTGGAAAAAACTCTTCTTAGACACTGACTTAGGGAAAGACTTCATGACCAAAAACCCAAAAGCAAATGCAACAAAAACAAAGGTAAATAGATGGGACTTAATTAAGCCAAAAAGCTTCTGCACAGCAAAAGAAATAATCAGCAGAGTAAACAGACAACACACAGAATGGGAGAAAATATTAGCAAACTCTGCATATAACAAAGGACTAATATCCAGAATCTACAAGGAACTCAAACAAATCAGCAAGAAAAATACAAATAATCTCATCAAAAAATGGGCTAAAAACATGAATAGATAATTCTCAAAAGAATATATACAAATGATCAACAAACATATGAAAAAAATGTTCAACATCACTAATGATCAGGGGAATGCAAATCAAAACCACAATGAGATACCATGCCACTTTACTCCTTCTAGAATGGCCATAATCAAAAAATCAAAAAGTAATAGATGCTGTCGTGGATGTGGTGAAAAGGGAACACTTTTACACTGCTGGTGGGAATGTAAACTGTACAACCACTATGGAAAACAGTGTGGAGATTCCTTAAAGAACTGAAAGTAGATCTACCATTTGATCTAGCAATCCCACTCCTGGGTATCTACCCAGAGGAAAATAAGTCATTATATGAAAAAGATACTTGCATATGCATGTTTATAGCAGCACAATTCACAATTGCAAAAATATGAAACCAGTGCCAATGCTCATCAATCAATGAGTGGATAAAGAAAATGTATAGGTACATCATGGAATACTCCTCAGCCATAAAAAGAAACAAAATAATGCAGCATTTGCATTTGCATTATTTGCATTTGCAGCAACCTGGGTGGAACTGGAGACCATTATTCTATGTGAAGTAACTCAGGAATGAAAAACCAAACATTGTATGTTTTCACTTACAAGTGGGAGCTAAGCTATGAAGACACAAAGGCATGAGAATGACACAGTGGACTTTGGGGACATGGAGGGAAGGCTGGGATGGGGTGAGGGATAAAAGAGTATACATTGGGGAAAGTGTACACTGCGTGGGTGATTGGGTATACCAAAATATCAGAAATCATCACTAAATAACTTATCCATGTAAGCAAACATTACAAGTTTCCCCCAAACCAATTGAAATTAAAAAAAAGTTCCAGTCTTAAACAACAACAAAATTACCAGATATGCAAAGAAAGAGAAAAAATCTACAGCCCACACACAGGAAAAAAGGCAATCAATAAAAAGTGTCTCAGAGAGAGCTCAGATGTTGGACTTAGGAGACAAAGGCTTTAAATAAGGTATTATAAACATAGAATTGAAAGATGTATTTGAGTGTATTTCACAAAGACCTAAAACAAATACAATTGTCTTTCTAAAACGTAAAGAATATATTAATAACATGAGATATACCTTAGGTAAACATAGAAGTTCACCCTAAAAATAAAAGATATTGATTTAAATTGTTTAAATGATTTCTTTGATAATGTTTTTCCTTTTTAAAATCCTTCTTATTATGGACTCAATCTTTTATCAATTCTTCCTAGAGAGAAATCAGATAATGGTACCATATTTTATAATTTGAAGACAAAGTTTATATCAGTCTTTTATCTCATTTCTAGACATATGTAAAAGTACATTAAATTAAATAAAGCAATGTTTCCAGCAATGTTCACTTAGAAAAATCAAGATTTTTTTCTTAAAAAAGAATTGGAACATAGAAGGTATTGTGATGACACAAAACCCAACAGAGCCTGACAAAACTAACTAAACTAAAAAAACAAAAAACAAAAAAACAAAACAAAAAAAACCTAATAGAGCCTGACAAAGTGAAATGCTAAACTAAGCTTTAGGCTTCTACCTTGAGGAGGACTCAGAGTTGAGAGGATGGCAGTATTTATTTTGCTGTTCAGTGTAACTCATAGTTTTTCAGTAGTCATGTGTCTCATTGAGACAAAACAAAGAATGCTTGGACAAATGATAACCACATATTTTGCAGGGCCTGGAATATAAAGTTTAATTATTGGGTCTGTGAACAGAGGCAGTTACTTTGAAAACCTGGATTTGTGAAAGACTGCCATTTCTGCAGACAAACTGCTGGGAAAGCCACAGTGTGAGGGGGAAAATGTCACTTCAGTCAGTAGGATCAAAAACAAGAAAAAAGAAAAATCTAGGACAAAGAATTGCTTAAGTAAACACAGCAAAGGCAGTTCCAGAGAGAACTAACATATCAATGTGACGGTTACTACGTGAAAATGTTGACAATTTTAGTTATACACATGAAACAATGCCAATTAGAGAGTGATATAAGTTAGTTATCTAAGTTAAAAGTATCTTTTTAGACACACGAATGTGAGAAAATTATGGGGTGCTTATTTTTTTAACTTTAATGTGCATTAGTGGATTATTTTGATAGAAAACAGATTCCATTTTAAACTCCTTATTATTGGAAAGAGTAAGACAAGAGATGAAGCAAGATGAAACTAAAATAATCCATGTGAGATCAGAGCCTCCAAACCTAAAACAAACCCTCACACCAGACTCTTAGTCCTAGAAATTATGCACATTTTTGGCAGTTTAGCAATTGATTTCTTATAGTCAAGGTTTTGTACCTTAGTTTCCTCATCTGGAAAACAGAAACACTAATAACTATAATTTATATTCACTATTTAAACTCTTATTTATACATTCAACAAATATATACTGAACACCTTCTATATTCTAAGGAATATGCTATGCATACAATTGCTGTAAAGATTAAAATAATGGATGCAAAGTACTTAGTACAGTGTCTGGCATAAAATACTGTTATATTATACAGAGTGATTTTCAGTTTGGGGATACACCCTGGCGAGGCCCTTATCAGAAGTACCTGTGGGGCTCTTTGAAATCTTACATACTGGTTTTAAGATTCCAACCCTTCCTACTAAAAGGAGCGTTCAGCTATTGTTGAGAAACACTGCACTACAGTATAACTTCAGCTCCCTTTCCAGGTTCATTATGATTCATTATCCCTTCCCCTGCCCCATCATTTTTAGCTCTAGCCAAACTCACTACGCATTATTTACTAGTCTATGAAGTTGCTCATATGAACACCTATCTGCTCCTTTTGGCTTTGAACGTTTTCCCTCTCCACTTACCCATCTTTCCATGTGAAATCTTATTCATCCAGTAAGATCTACCCGAATTGCAAGTGTTTTATAAAGCTGTTTTTGATGCTTTAAGTAGGTCTGATCGCTCTCTTGGTTGACTATTTAAGCACTTTGTACCTTTTTCTTTATGACACTTATATTTATAATATAGGTGTAAGATAGGAAGCATCAGGAGGATAAGATCTGAGTCTTACTAATCTTTGCTTTCCTTTCCTTCATAGTATTTTCTACATAGCATAGAACCAAGTTTTGGTATACAGTACTGGAATATACTCTATTCAGAAATTAGGGATTGTTCCCTGATGAACATTGGTGCAAAAATCCTCAATAAAGTACTGGCAAATCGAATCCAAAAGCACATCAAAAAGCTTATCCACCATGATCAAGTCAGCTTCATCCTTGGGATGCAAGGTTGGCTCAACATATGCAAATCAATAAATGTAATTCATCACATAAACAGAACTAAAGACAAAAACCATATGATTATTTCAATAGATGCAGAAAAGGCCTTTGATAAAATTCAACATCCTTTCATGTTAAAAACTCCCAATAAACTAGGAATTGAAGGAATATACCTCAAAATAATAAGAGCCATATATAAGAAACCCACAGCCAATATCATACTGAATGGGCAAAAGCTGGAAGCATTCCCCAGAAAACCAGCACAAGACAAGGATGCCCTCTCTAATCACTCCTATTCAACATTGTATTGGAAGTTATGGTCAGGGCAATCAGGCAAGAGAAAGAAATAAAGCATATTCAAATAGGGAGAGAGGAAGTCAAATTATCTTTGTTTGCAGATGACATAATCCTACATCTAAAAAAGCCCATCGTCTCAGTTCAAAAGCTTCTTAAACTGATAAGCAACTTCAGCAAATTCTCAGGTTATAAAATATTGATTTTAAAATGAAAAAATCACTAGTATTCCTATACAACAACAACAGGCAAGCAGAGAGCCAAATCATAAATGAACACCCATTCACAATTGCCACAAAAAGAATAAAATACCTGGGAATATAGCTAACAAGGGAAGTGAAGGATCTCTTTGAGGAGAACTATCAACCACTGCTCAAGGAAATTACAGAGGACATAAACAAATGGAATAACATTCCATGCTCATAGATAGGAAGAATCAATATCGTGAAAATGGCCATAGTACCCAAAGTAATTTATGAATTCAATGCTATTCCCATTAAACTACCATTGACATTCTTTACAGAATTAGAAAAAAAACTATTTTAAAATTCATATGGAACCAAAAAAGAGCCCGTATAGCCAAGACAATCCTAAGCAAAAAGAACAAAGCTGAAGGCATCATGCTACCTGACTTCAAACTATATTACAAGGATACAGTAACCAAAACAGCAAGGTACTGGCACAAAAACAGATGCATAGACTAATGGAACAGAATAGAGATCTCAGAAATAAGACCACACACCCTACAACCATCTGATATTTGACAAAACTGACAAAAACAAGCAATGGGGAAAAGATTCCCTATTTAATAAATGGTGCTGGGAGAACTGGCTGGCCATATGCAGAAAACTGAAACTGTACCCTTCCCTTACACCTTATATAAAAATTAATTCAAGATGGATTAAAAACTTAACTGTAAAACCCAAAACTATACTAGATGAAAATCTAAGCAATAGCATTCTGGACACAGGCATGGGCAAAGATTTCATGACAAAACCACCAAAAGCAGCTTCAACAAAAGCCAAAATTGACAAATGGGATCTAATTAAACTAAAGAGCTTCTGTACTGCAAAGGAAACTATCATCAGAGTGAACAGACAACCTAACCTACAGAATGGGAGAAAATTTTGCAATCTATCCATGAGATAAAGGTCTAATATCCAGAGTCTACAAGGAACTTGAACAAATTTACAAGAAAAAAATACACAACCCCATTAAAAAGTGGGCAAAGGACGTGAACAGACACTTCTGAAAAGAAGACATTCTTGTGGCAAACAAACATATGAAAAAAGGATCAACATCACTGATCATTAGAGAAGTGTAAATCAAAACCACAATGAGATACTATCTCATGCCAGTCAGAATGGTGATTATTAAAATGTCAAGAAACAAGATGCTGCCAAGGCTATGGAGAAATAGGAACGCTTTAACACTGTTGGTGGGGATGTAAATTAGTTTGACCATAGTGGAAGACAGCATGGCAATTCCTCAAAGATCAAGAAGCAGAAACACCATTTGACCCAGCAATGCCATTACTGGGTATATACTCAAAGGAATATAAATCATTCAATTATAAAGATACATGCATGTTTATGTTCACTGCAGCACTACTCACAATAGCAAAGATATGGAATCAATCCAAATGCCCATCAATTATACACTGGATAAAGAAAATGTGGTACATATACACCATGGAATACTATGCTGCCATAAAAAGGAATAAGATCATGTCCTTTGCAGGGACATAGATGGAGCTGCAAGCCGTTATCCTCAGCAAACTAATGTAGGAAGAGCTAACCAAAAACTGCATGTTCTCATTTATAAGTGGGAGCCAAACGATGAGAACACGTAGAAACACTGTGGGGAACAACACATGGGGCCTTTTAGAGGGGGCAGGGAGAGGGAGAGCATCAGGAAGAATAGCTAATGCATGCTGGGCTTAATACCTAGCTGATGGGTTGATCTGTGCAGCAAACCACCATGGCACAAGTTTACCTATGTAACAAACCTGCACGTCCTGCACATGTACACCGGAACTTAAAATAAAAGTTGAAGAAACAAACAAAAAAAGAAATTAGGGATTGTTTATGCTTTTAAAAACAATTTCTTACAATGTAGATTGATAATCTTTATTATAAGCTTTTGCAATATGTGTATAGTTCTAAAATCCATTATGACTATATATATCAATATCAGACTAATATTTTATGTGATACTTATGAATAACATAATTCTAGTCATGATATCTTTGAAAATGATACCATTGTTCTGAGCTGTAAATTCAGAGTTACACCCCAAAATCAATTGTGGTACAGCCAGTTTTTTATCCATAAGCTGTTTTTTTTTTTTTTTTTTTTTGGCAAAGACTCAAATTCTAATTGAAAGGTATTAAATTGGGTGATGTGTTATATGAACACTTACACACTAAAACACACACTATTAAAATTAGTGTTATTTAATATCCAAATTTTCTTGATATTAGACATTATCCAGTATCAATTCACTTTTAAACACAAAGTAAACAAATTTTTATATGAATATACACCTTATCTAGTATTTACACTGGCGTCTGATATGGCAAAGGATACAGATGCCTCTTTTAGGTGAATTATTTCAATTCAGTCCATAATAAAGTTGTTGTAATACTGTTGGGAAAAGTTATTACATTCATCTTAGAAAGTAATTTACAAAGTAACACAAATAACATTTGAAAAAGTTGAAATAATAAAAATTATAAATCTACACTGTACTAAATTCTAGTTTTCAAGGCATAAATCCAGAGCATTATAAATATCATAAAATTATAATTCTGAGACACTAACAAATATTACAGCCAAGACACACTAAATGGAGCATCAAAGCGGATCAGCCTTCTAAAGAGTACACTGTAGGGGTGAGGAGCCAAGATGGCCGAATAGGAACAGCTCCGGTCTACAGCTCCCAGCGTGAGCGACGCAGAAGACGGGTGATTTCTGCATTTCCATCTGAGGTACCGGGTGCATCTCACTAGGGAGTGCCAGACAGTGGGCGCAGGCCAGTGGGTGCGCGCACCATGCGCAAGCCGAAGCAGGGCGAGGCATTGCCTCACCTGGGAAGCGCGAGGGGTCAGGAAGTTCCCTTTCCGAGTCAAAGAAAGGGGTGACGGACGCACCTGGAAAATCGGGTCACTCCCACCCGAATATTGCGCTTTTCACACCGGCTTAAAAAGCGGCGAACCATGAGATTATATCTCACACCTGGCTTGGAGGGTCCTACGCCCACGGAGTCTCCCTGATTGCTAGCACAGCAGTCTGAGATCAAACTGCAAGGCGGCAGCGAGGCTGGGGGAGGGGCGCCTGCCATTGCCCAGGCTTGCTTAGGTAAACAAAGCAGAAAGGAAACTCGAACTGGGTGGAGCCCACCACAGCTCAAGGAGACCTGCCTGCCTCTGTAGGCTCCACCTCTGGGGGCAGGGCACAGACAAACAAAAAGACAGCAGTAACCTCTGCAGACTTAAGTGTCCCTGTCTGACAGCTTTGAAGAGAGCAGTGGTTCTCCCAGCACGCAGCTGGAGATCTGAGAACGGGCAGACTGCCTCCTCAAGTGGGTCCCTGACCCCTGACCCCCGAGCAGCCTAACTGGGAGGCACCCCCCAGCAGGGGCACACTGACACCTCACACGGCAGGGTATTCCAACAGACCTGCAGCTGAGGGTCCTGTCTGTTAGAAGGAAAACTAACAAACAGAAAGGACATCCACACCGAAAACCCATCTGTACATCACCATCATCAAAGACCAAAAGTACATAAAACCACAAAGATGGGGAAAAAACAGAACAGAAACTGGAAACTCTAAAATGCAGAGCGTCTCTCCTCCTCCAAAGGAACGCAGCTCCTCACCAGCAACGGAACAAAGCTGGACGGAGAATGACTTTGACGAGCTGAGAGAAGAAGGCTTCAGACGATCAAATTACTCTGAGCTATGGGAGGACATTCAAACCAAAGGCAAAGAAGTTGAAAACTTTGAAAAAAATTTAGAAGAATGTATAACTAGAATAACCAATACAGAGAAGTGCTTAAAGGAGCTGATGGAGCTGAAAACCAAGGCTCGAGAACTACGTGAAGAATGCAGAAGCCTCAGGAGCTGATGTGATCAACTGGAAGAAAGGGTATCAGCAATGGAAGATGAAATGAATGAAATGAAGCGAGAAGGGAAGGTTAGAGAAAAAAGAGTAAAAAGAAATGAGCAAAGCCTCCAAGAAATATGGGACTATGTGAAAAGACCAAATCTACGTCTGATTGGTGTACCTGAAAGTGACAGGGAGAATGGAACCAAGTTGGAAAACACTCTGCAGGATATTATCCAGGAGAACTTCCCCAATCTAGCAAGGCAGGCCAACGTTCAGATTCAGGAAATACAGAGAACGCCACAAAGATACTCCTCAAGAAGAGCAACTCCAAGACACATAATTGTCAGATTCACCAAAGTTGAAATGAAGGAAAAAATGTTAAGGGCAGCCAGAGAGAAAGGTCGGGTTACCCTCAAAGGGAAGCCCATCAGACTAACAGCGGATCTCTTGGCAGAAACCCTACAAGCCAGAAGAGAATGGGGGCCAATATTCAACATTCTTAAAGAAAAGAATTTTCAACCCAGAATTTCATATCCAGCCAAACTAAGCTTCATAAGTGAAGGAGAAATAAAATACTTCACAGACAAGCAAATGCTGAGAGATTTTGTCACCACTAGGCCTGCCCTAAAAGAGCTCCTGAAGGAAGCGCTAAACATGGAAAGGAACAACTGGTACCAGCCGCTGCAAAATCATGCCAAAATGTAAAGACCATCGAGACTAGGAAGAAACTGCATCAACTAATGAGCAAAATCACCAGCTAACATCATAATGACAGGATCAAATTCACACATAACAATATTAACTTTAAATGTAAATGGACTAAATGCTCCAATTAAAAGACACAGACTGGCAAATTGGATAAAGAGTCAAGACCCATCAGTGTGCTGTATTCAGGAAACCCATCTTACGTGCAGAGATACACAGAGGCTCAAAATAAAAGGATGGAGGAAGATCTACCAAGCAAATGGAAAACAAAAAAAGGCAGGGGTTGCAATCCTAGTCTCTGATAAAACAGACTTTAAACCAACAAAGATCAAAAGAGACAAAGAAGGCCATTACATAATGGTAAAGGGATCAATTCAACAAGAAGAGCTAACTATCCTAAATATATATGCACCCAATACAGGAGCACGCAGATTCATAAAGCAAGTCCTGAGTGACCTACAAAGAGACTTAGACTCCCACACATTAATAATGGGAGACTTTAACACCCCACTGTCAACATTAGACAGATCAACGAGACAGAAAGTCAACAAGGATACCCAGGAATTGAACTCAGCTCTGCACCAAGTGGACCTAATAGACATCTACAGAACTCTCCACCCCAAAACAACAGAATATACATTTTTTTCAGCACCACACCACACCTATTCCAAAATTGACCACATACTGGGAAGTAAAGCTCTCCTCAGCAAATGTAAAAGAACAGAAATTATAACAAACTATCTCTCAGACCACAGTGCAATCAAACTAGAATTCAGGATTAAGAATCTCACTCAAAGCCGCTCAACTATATGGAAACTGAACAACCTGCTCCTGAATGACTACTGGGTACATAACGAAATGAAGGCAGAAATAAAGATGTTCTTTGAAACCAACGAGAACAAAGACACAACATACCAGAATCTCTGGGACGCATTCAAAGCAGTGTGTAGAGGGAAATTTATAGCACTAAATGCCCACAAGAGAAAGCAGGAAAGATCCAAAATTGACACCCTAACATCACAATTAAAAGAACTAGAAAAGCAAGAGCAAACACATTCAAAAGCTAGCAGAAGGCAAGAAATAACTAAAATCAGAGCAGAACTGAAGGAAATAGAGACACAAAAAACCCTTCAAAAATCAATGAATCCAGGAGCTGGTTTTTTGAAAGGATCAACAAAATTGATAGACCACTAGCAAGACTAATAAAGAAAAAAAGAGACAAGAATCAAATAGACACAATAAAAAATGATAAAGGGGATATCACCACCGATCCCACAGAAATACAAACTACCATCAGATAATACTACAAACACCTCTACGCAAATAAACTAGAAAATCTAGAAGAAATGGATAAATTCCTCAACACATACACTCTCCCAAGACTAAACCAGGAAGAAGTTGAATCTCTGAATAGACCAATAACAGGAGCTGAAATTATGGCAATAATCGATAGTTTACCAACCAAAAAGAGTCCAGGACCAGATGGATTCACAGCCGAATTCTACCAGAGGTACAAGGAGGAACTGGTACGATTCCTTCTGAAACTATTCCAATCAATAGAAAAAGAGGGAATCCTCCCTCACTCATTTTATGAGGCCAGCATCATTCTGATACCAAAGCCGGGCAGAGACACAACCAAAAAAGAGAATTTTAGACCAATATCCTTGATGAACATTGATGCAAAAATCCTCAATAAAATACTGGCAAAACGAATCCAGCAGCACATCAAAAAGCTTATCCACCATGATCAAGTGGGCTTCATCCCTGGGATGCAAGGCTGGTTCAATATACGCAAATCAATAAATGTAATCCAGCATATAAACAGAGCCAAAGACAAAAACCACATGATTATCTCAATAGGTGCAGAAAAAGCCTTTGACAAAATTCAACAACTCCTTCATGCTAAAAACTCTCAATAAATTAGGTATTGATGGGACGTATTTCAAAATAATAAGAGCTATCTATGACAAACCCACAGCCAATATCATACTGAATGGGCAAAAACTGGAAGCATTCCCTTTGAAAAATGGCACAAGACAGGGATGCCCTCTCTCACCACTCCTATTCAACATAGTGTTGGAAGTTCTGGCCAGGGCAATTAGGCAGTAGAAGGAAATAAAGGGTATTCAATTAGGAAAAGAGGAAGTCAAATTGTCCCTGTTTGCAGATGACATGATTGTATATCTAGAAAACCCCACTGTCTCAGCCCAAAATCTCCTTAAGCTGATAAGCAACTTCAGCAAAGTCTCAGGATACAAAATCAATGTACAAAAATCACAAGCATTCTTATACACCAACAACAGACAAACAGAGAGCCAAATCATGAGTGAACACCCATTCACAATTGCTTCAAAGAGAATAAAATACCTAGGAATCCAACTTACAAGGGATGTGAAGGACCTCTTCAAGGAGAACTACAAACCACTGCTCAAGGAAATAAAAGAGGATACAAACAAATGGAAGAACATTCCATGCTCATGGGTAGGAAGAATCAATATCGTGAAAATGGCCATACTGCCCAAGGTAATTTACAGATTCAATGCCATCCCCATAAAGCTACCAATGACTTTCCTCACAGAATTGGAAAAAACTACTTTAAAGTTCATATGGAACCAAAAAAGAGCCCGCATCGCCAAGTCAATCCTAAGCCAAAAGAACAAAGCTGGAGGCATCACACTACCTGACTTCAAACTATACTATAAGGCTACAGTAACCAAAACAGCATGGTACTGGTACCAAAACAGAGATATAGATCAATGGAACAGAACAGAGCCCTCAGAAATAACGCCGCATATCTACAACTATCTGATCTTTGACAAACCTGAGAAAAACAAGCAATGGGGAAAGGATTCCCTATTTAATAAATGGTGTTGGGAAAACTGGCTAGCCATATGTAGAAAGCTGAAACTGGATCCCTTCCTTACACCTTATACAAAAATCAATTCAAGATGGATTAAAGATTTAAACGTTAGACCTAAAACCATAAAAACCCTAGAAGAAAACCTAGGCATTACCCTTCAGGACATAGGCATGGGCAAGGACTTCATTTCCAAAACACCAAAAGCAAAGGCAACAAAAGCCAAAATTGACAACTGGGATCTAATTAAACTAAAGAGCTTCTGCACAGCAAAAGAAACTACCATCAGAGTGAACAGGCAACCAACAAAATGGGAGAAAATTTTCACAACCTACTCATCTGACAAAGGGCTAATATTCAGAATCTACAATGAACTCAAACAAATTTACAAGAAAAAAAAAACAACCCCATCAAAAAGTGGGCGAAGGACATGAACAGACACTTCTCAAAAGAAGACATTTATGCAGCCAAGAAACACATGAAAAAATGCTCATCATCACTGGCCATCAGAGAAATGCAAATCAAAACCACTATGAGATACCATCTCACACCAGTTAGAATGGCAATCATTAAAAAGTCAGGAAACAACAGGTGCTGGAGAGGATGTGGAGAAATAGGAACACTTTTACACTGTTGGTGGGACTGTAAACTAATTCAACCATTGTGGAAGTCAGTGTGGCGATTCCTCAGGGATCTAGAACTAGAAATACCATTTGACCCAGCCATCCCATTACTGGGTATATACCCAAAGGACTATAAATCATGCTGCTATAAAGACACATGCACACGTATGTTTATTGCGGCATTATTCACAATAGCAAAGACTTGGAACCAACCCAAATGTCCAACAATGATAGACTGGATTAAGAAAATGTGGCACATATATACCATGGAATACTATGCAGCCATAAAAAATGATGAGTTCGTGTCCTTTGTAGGGACATGGATGAAATTGGAAATCATCATTCTCAGTAAACTATCACAAGAACAAAAAACCAAACACGGCATATTCTCACTCATAGGTGGGAATTGAACAATGAGATCACATGGACACAGGAAGGGGAATATCACACTCTGGGGACTGTGGTGGGGTGGGGGGAGGGGGGAGGGATAGCATTGGGAGATATACCTAATGCTAGATGACGAGTTAGTGGGTGCAGCACACCAGCATGGCACATGTATACATATGTAACTAACCTGCACAATGTGCACATGTACCCTAAAACTTAAAGTATAATAAAAAAATAAAAAAAAAAGATAGGGATGGGTAGAGATAAGGATAGGGGTAATCTCCTAAAATAAATTTCATTTCTGAAATCGGTACTAATAGCAAGTTGATTGAAAACATAACATGATTTGTTTTATTCCACTTTATTTTTGGCAATCATAAGATACTGACTAGTTTAGAATCAATGTATATATTTTTTCCCTCTGAGCCCAGGCTTAGTGAATTGCTGTCAAACATCAACTTTGTTACTGTCACTGTGTAGATCATGTAGCTAGTGTGCTTGGCTCCTCATAGTGTGTGGACTTCACACTCATTTTGCCTCTTCAGTCTCAGTCTCCCAATTGTAACATGTTGCCACACTTTAACCAGCTTAACCTGGGCTTTCAAGATCATGTGAACACAGTATGAATTACTAATCAGTAGAATGTTCGTTCCATTGATGTCACTACTTATCCCTTGATTATAAAACCCCCTTAAACATTCTATTAAAAAACAAAATGCTTGCTTGTGGAGTTTTACTTTGCAAAAAAAAAAAAATAAAAAAAATAAAATAAAATAAAGAGTACACTGTATAGCTTCCACCTGTGATTCCTAGTGTACTTTACAATGCTTAGAGCACAATAGAGAATCAATAAGTACTGTATTGAACATGTGAATGTAAAATACTGAATTAGAAGGTGAAGGATAAAGAGGGATTATCTGTGGCCTTGTAACCAAGAAAATTATAAAGGTAGTAAAAGAAGATAACAGATTGTAAATACCACAATAACAGTATAAACCAATTGTATTAGAGGAACCAAAAACTTCATGCAGAACGTGTTAAACAACATTCTAGGACTCTGAGCAGGGAAGAGCGACATGACAAAAAACGTGTTTAGGTTGAACAGTATGTGTTAGACAGGGAGGACACAAGAGGGACTAACACTGAAATCTGGATATCATCACCTGGTCTAATTTTATAGTTGTAAGAAGAGAGTAAGGAAAAAGGATGGATCTGTGGTCCTAATATTACTTAGATTTATAGGCCCCTATAAATTGGCATGGCATATTTGGCTTGGTTTAAAAAGTGTTTTGAGGGAAAAAATGTAAGTATGATCCGTATAAGTATATGTAAACTAATGGAAGAAAACAGTACACTCATAGTCACCTTCCTATTTCCTAGAAAGTTCCTGTGAAGAGTTTTAAAAGATTAACTGCTTAAGCATTATACTAAAAATAATCTGAAATATATGAGGGCGAGGAAACCACCAAAAAATCCATAGATTAACTCAACAAAATTATATTTTGCAGAGAACTCTTATTTATTTATTTTTAAAAGTAGTCACCGAATTGGTTTTATTTTTTCAAAAGTATTTGAATGGTAATATTTAATTTTCTGCAGGTCTCAGATAACTTCCATGACACAAAGGAAAAAAAAAATACATTAGCTCCCTTCCACTGATATAAATATGCCTAGAGAGGAGCCTGCCAACAGCTGCGGGTAGCAGCATTTCTAACTGCCAGAAGAGGAAAACATCTCTGCTCACTTCAGCAAAGGTGTGCAACAAAGTGGGCACATTTGGCAGAGCCATCAGATCAATGCCAGGTATGAATATATCATGGTCATTCCCAAGGAGGACTTCTATCAGAGTCTGCTTTGAAGTTACCTAAAGCATAGAAGAAAATCTGCATGTTTTCATAGGCTATGAATCCAATGATATATCATTGGATTTTCCAGATTGACTTCGCATAATCTGGAAACTTAAGGGGAAAAGGACCATTGTTATCCAATAAACCCATTTTATCGAAAAAATATTCACTATATTGATTGAAGTTATAACACATTGAAATTTATGAGAATTATATAGAGTTTTCAGATCAACAGAAGATTTCTGATCTTTCAAGACCACCCAAAGCCAATTTGGAAACCCCAGGATCCAACCTAATCTTATTTGGTATTCAGAAGTATATACTTTTGTTGTTGATAAGGTCACATGCATGGACAACAGCTGGTAAAATGAAATGCTTTGGCCGGGCATGGTGGCTCACGCCTGTAATCCCAGCACTTTGGCAGAGGCAGACGGATCACCTAAGGTCAGGAGTTCGAGACCAGCCTGCCCAACATGGTGAAACCCCGTCTCTACTAAAAATACAAAAAATTGGCCGGGCATGGCAGCACGCGCCTGTAATCCCAGCTACTCCTGAGGCAGGAGAATCACTTGAACCTGGGAGGTGGAGGTTGCAGTGAGCTGAGATTGCACCACTGCACTCCAGCCTGGGTAATAAGAGCAAAACTCTGTCTCAAACAAAAAAAAAAAAAAAAAAAAGAAATGCTTTAATCTCAAAATGAAAGCAATTTCTTTTTACAAACTGGAGTGACGACAAGGAAGAAGTGTTACTACCAGTGTATAGCAGAGAGTTTATATTACTAAATTTAAAATCACCATTAAGTTCACAGGAAACAAAGCAGATGTATAAGCAACAAACATCCGAGCCGCAAAACAAATTCCCTATTCTTTGTAAGTCTTTTCTTGCCATTTATTCCTAATTAATCAGTATGTTTGCTATACTATTAAAATAAATATGATAAAAAGTAATCAAACCAATACAGAAAAAAGATGTTTCCCATATTTTGTCTCTGTTTACCTTTTTTGGAGAATGTAAAATGAAGAAAAATGGACATAGTAATAGAAATATGTATCTTCATTTCAGGCAGGTTCCTATTTGGCAAGAGTTTCAAGTTAATTGGGATATATGAACAATGAAAGCATGGTTAACAGACACCTGGGAAACCTAAATTTTTATTAATCCCATAGGTCAGTAAACCAAGGATTCCCCAGACCCACATCAAGAAAATCTAAATTATATTTTAAAATTGTTAGAAACATTGAAAAAAATTGCAAAAGTTACACATGAGGAAACTACCTAACCAAACCCAGTAAACTCTTTATTATTTTCCTGTCTTTTTTTGCCCCATGATATCCATTAAAGATCACTGATCTGCAATCTGAGTCCTTATTATGCTTGGAGTCAAGGAGAAAGAGTCAGCAGCCAGAAAAGGGTAAAAGAGAATCAGTTGTCTTAGCCTGATACCCAATGCAGAGGACAGGTAAGATATTATATGTTCACATGTCACCCAAGAAACAGCTTTCCCAGAACCCTGAGCCATGTATACTGTGACTGGGGATCTGTCCCAGTTATTAGGGTGCACTCCAGTTTTCTTTTGGGACTAGAGTCCTACTGAGAACATTGATCTGTCCAAAATGAGCCCTGACAAGCCATCTTAAGTCTTTACTAGATTCCTCTCTCTGAGAAGGGAGATCATGACTTTCTATCAATTGCTTACTAAAGACCTGTTTCAGCTCATTCAGACATACATCCTTCAATGTGATACAGATCTCTGATGCCCAGACCTACCAAAGAAATGCAAGGCTGTTGGTATTCCCTGGATTATACCTGAATTCAAAGGTCCTTGAGAGCCAGCTCTTTGAGGAGGGGTAATCTCCTGGCATGCTAATAATCTCTCTACAGTGCCCTGTCATTGAGTTCCTATGAGGAAAAGTCTGGGTGAGTATGACAATATGCTTTAATATATATGACATTCCTACTACGTCCAGTCAAGTGATTTCCACAAATTTTCTTATTTAATGATTACAACAATGCTATGAAGTCAGAACTAATATTATCCCCACTTTACAATCAAAAGGCTCAGGCTTAGAAATGATATGGGACTTCCTCCAAAGTTAACTAGGCAGTCAGACTCCTAAAACAATGCTTTTAAAGAAATTAGGCAATATACACCAACTATTTCATCAAACCTCTAACACCACCAAGTGTAAGATCACCATTATTTTGGTGGGTTAAGAAAAAAAAGACACAATGAAAATTAAACTGATAAAATGTTTTCTTTTCAGTGCCACTCAAAATGTGGACCCTGACCAGTGCCAGACCATAAACTGTTATCAGTCTACAAGGTCAGAAAATAAGAGTGTTTAGAAACTTTTGTAACATTTTAATATTGCAGTGAAAATTTCAAATATATTTTATAAAAGTGGTGAAGGTAGAAAACAAAAAACTAGACCTTGGCTTCAGATAGTCTAAGAAGCATTGACTTAGAATTTTTATTTTATTCTCATTTTTAAAGTTCTTTTAGATTCAAGGCATAGATTATCATTATAGATCATACTTGGGCATTATTGTTTCACTTCAGCATAAAAAGGAGGAAAACAGCAGCAAAAAAAATTGGTTAAAGTATTCGTAAAATGTTTTCACATTCAGAGTCTGACTCTTCTGAATCTCTTTTTGATGCAGAGTAATTGGTACCCATCTTTCTTTGTGTTACCAAGGCTGCCCAATCTAGGATTAAAAGCTCCTGGGTTTTAATCTGAGGCACTGACACCTTCTTCAAACTTGGATACTGGCCCTCTCTCTATCTTACCAGAACTCAGGAAATAACAGCTGTGTCACCACAAATCCAAACATCAGAAAGTTAAAAAGTTTAAAAAAAAAGTACATCTTAGAAGCCACGAAACAATAGTATCATTTATTGTTCTGTCATTTCTAAGATTTCTTGATGTTTTCTGATGTTTATTTGCCTAAATATGAATTTGAAAGAAATGACTTTCTCCGTTAAAGTCTATTTCTCATCTCTTATCTATACTCACAGACAAGATTTTGGTTGATACTTTGACAGATAGTCTTCATTATCTACGCTGAAGATATGTAGGTATTCCATGAGCAGTGTCATTCAAACATATGTGTCTATATAACTCAAACAATATAATGAAACCTACCAACTGAAAGCATTCTAGAAGCTCAATTCTGTCTTCTATTTATATCAGCTTGAGAATTCATTAATCAAAGTGCCCTAGTATCTACATATACCTTGTTAATTAATTAGACTACCAAAAGTTTAGAGAATACAATCTACCCATGGATTTGTTATAAAAGCAATAAATGTTTATCATGGAAAGCTCAGAAAATACAAAAAAAAGCTTAATAAAGATAAAAATCACAAATAATTCAAAACTCAAATCCAAAAATGGATCTTCCAATTTATGTCAGTTTATGGCGAACTGATAAAATATATTTAATGTAAAAAACCACAAAGCCATCTCCTTTGATGGGATGCATCCCAAAATGAACACAGATGACTAGGAAATTTTATATAGAATAGTCACTAATTTATGCTACTATATCTAATACCTTGATTTATACTACTATACCAAATACCTTAACATGTTAGGGGCATCATGTTCTCAAACCACAGCTAAATAGTTTCAGAAAATACTTAAGATCTTTTGACTTGTTTTGTGAGGTACTGAAGTTCGTTTCTTTACTATCAGCTATGAAAAGGGCAAGAAAAAGGAGCTATATAAGGTGAGAATAGGAGGAGGGATACAGGATAGAAGTTAGATACAAATTCTACAGATCACTTCTTATTGACAGAATTAATTGATTCTTGAGTATTTCTATGGAAGAGAACAGAAAACTGCAATGAGTGCTGACATCAATTTGTTGAAATGTTATGAAAGACACAGCTTAGTGATTCACTAGTGGTTAAACCTGCAAGGGTTCAGAAAAGCACCTAAACAGAAAAGCAATTAAATTAAAGGAGGAAAGAGAATAAAAATGTTAACTCTATATGTAATTTTAGTCACACAGTCCTTTATTTATGTCCAAAAATGTTGCTGAAACACAGGTAACAAATGTTACTGAAACAGCTAAATGGAAAACAAAAAAGCTCCACTATCTATCTAACTCAATACCTAAAAAATAATTAAATATGGACCACAAAATTAAGCATAAAAACTATAACCATAAAGATAATAGGTACCATATAACTATAAAGATAATAGATACCATATAAACATTAAGAAACCTAACAGAAAGTCTTCTTGACCTTTGGGTATGCAAAGATTTCTTGGACAAAACATAGAAAGTATTAATAACCCAATAAAAAGGAACAAAAAGTTTGAATAGACACACCACAAAGTGAGATATATGAAAGGCAATAAGCCAAGTGAAAGGTGCTCAATATCATTCATCTTTAAGGAAACAGAAATGAAAATCACAATAAAATAATACTGCACACCCACTAGAATACATAAAATAAAAAAGACTAACAAAACCAAGGAAAGCTAGACACAAAAGGGCACACTCTATGTAATTGCACTTACATGACATCCAAGAACAGACACGCTAAACTATGGTAATAGAAACCACTGGAGGAAGTAAGAAAGTTGTGACTGGAAAGGAGAACTTTCTAAAGTACAGGAAATACTATTCCTTGCTTTTGGGGTGCTGGTTACATGGGAGTGCAGAACTGTCAAAACTCCCTGAGTTAAGCACTTACAATCTGCACTTTTTCTGTTAATCTTATGTATACAAATATGTGTATTTACAGATATTATACATACACACATAGATACAGTTTAAGAAAGGTGTTAATATAATTAAGTCTTGGTACAATAATTTAATAAACATACATATACTGAGTTTCTGCTATGTGCTTCGTGCTACAAATTATTTATTTTTGTGTTAAAAATGAATGTCTTAAATTTACTTAAGCGTTCTAACACAAATACTGTGACTGAAGTAGACCATTCTTTAAATCTCTCTCCTAAGGAATGATAGCTTGTCAATTCTCAGAGACTAACATGGTTCAGTGCCTTTTCGGCATACAATTAATATATTCCATATCTTTTAAAACAGGAATATGCCACTATTAGCAGAAATGAAAACTATAATTATAGTATTTTGAAAATTATTCGTTTGCCATCAGTTACTTTCCACTTATGTGCTTGTACATTTTTAAATACCTTCCTAAACAGTTAACCAAGGCCTGAGAAAAGCACCTTTACAACAGTGGCCCTAATACCAGATATGGTCATACTTGATGTTACACTATATTGAATCACCAGAAATGTCCTTGGCTTCTCTGACTACATGGTATTTGTGAGCAATACTTAGGTTTCTCCAGACTAGAACATTTCCAACACAACAGTATTAATCATCTACAAAACAACCACTGAATAACAAAATATTTCCTTCGGAGAGAAATGCTTACTGTCTTCTGCTTAAATTGTTCTGCCTGAGTCATTACATTATCTGGTAAATTTTCTCGTCATGAAATTCCATCTCATGATAGCAAATCCTCAATACTGTTGTTACAGATCTTTCACAAGTATGTGTTGTTAGAAATTCATGTGCTTTGTGATTTCAAAATTGCTATTTATATAACGACTGCAAGTTCCAGGCAGAAGAAACTATTATTATTTAACATACACGATATACCTGCAGAATGCAAAGCACTGCCCAGGATGAATTTTTAATTCTTCCAAGTTCCACAGTAGTTCTAAATTCAATTAAGGGAAAAAAAAAGAAGTCTTCTTCCTGATTTATAATTCTGAGCCATTTCTTTTCATAAATAATAATGATCTAAAATTACTATGCTTGTGTGTACCTAGGATTATAATAAATGCCATGTGTCAAAGGGGGTATTACTAGAATAATTTTCAGTATCTATATAATTAGTTCATATAATATATTTAATGGCCTGTTACATGTTTAGCTGGCAAGTTTCTACATTTATTAACCTCATAATTTTAAATTAGAAAATTATATTTTGACCTACCTACTGCTTTTATTTTGACTGCATCCCAAATATATTAATAGTGGCATATATGTTTAATAAATGAGCCATTATTTCTCCAAGGTGTATAACCATACACACAGTGATGTCAATTGCGTTAAATGTTCCTGCCAAACAGGGAAACATTTAAGTTGTGTTAACTATAAAATCAGGATTACAATAATTTTAATGAAAGATTTACTTTTTTAGAAAACTTCAGACATACAGTCATGTGAATGGTAATGTAATGCTGACTGTATAAAATATGAACTATGCAAAGGTTTTACAGCTGGTTTTGATCAGCTTCCTTTGTTTAACATTAAAAGTTAACTTCCAGAAGACACATACAAGCTCTACATCCTACAGGTAATGATTACCAGATGGAGATGTTCTTCCTGTTACGTGTCTGATTATCATAAAGAATATACTACAAGAAGAAAAAAAAAAAACTAGGGCAGAGACTCTGATGTATTCTCTGATACAAACAGGCTCTTCCAAACTTTAGTCAATGAAGTCAGACTCACACTCAAAAATGCTTTTGTACTTGTAAAATAGTGATACAAGGTTATATTCTGCATATATGGTCAAATGTTTTAAATAATTAAATTGACGCCTTTAATCATTAGCCCCCTTTGGCTGTCAAAATGATTAAGTTGCAGCCTACTGAGTAACACTAATGATTTCTTACAATCTGCTTGAAAGAAAATCCAACCTATTGTCAAGCCCTGGCAGTCTAGATGCCCAGTTTCCTAGCAGGGCCCCCTAGAAATGGCCTCCTTGCCTCAAATTATTCCATGCACAATACTGGGTTATCAGCTAAAAACACCAGCTGAAACTAGGCTCAAAACTTTAAATGGCTCTAAATTTCTACCGAATATGGTTTGGTAGTTTTTTAATCTCCCTTTGTTCCTTTTCATGCATGCTATGTTCCCCTCAAAATGTTCTATTCACTTTTCTTGACTTGTTCTCCTACCTGTACTTCCCACTGTCTCAACTCTCTTTCTAATCTCTATGTGGTCAGATACCACCACTTCCAATACCAGCATAAAAATGATTTCCCCCACGAAGCTTTCCCTCATTCTTTTAAGGAAGAAGTAATTTCTCCCTTTTTGAACCACTGTGACACTTTATAAAACATTACATCTTCATTAGTAGTATATTCATTCCTGAACAGACCATATACCATACAAACTATATCCTCTCTATTGAGATAGAAGGCCTTGTCCATAGTACCAACCATAGGATTTTGCTTATGATAGGTGTTTAAGAAATGTTCATAGGCTGGGCATGGTGGCTCATGCCTATAATCCCAGCACTTTGGCAGGTTGAAGTGGGAGGATCGCTTAAGTCCAGGAGTTTGAAACCAGCCTGGGCAACATAGTGAAACCCTGTCTCTACAAAAACTTTAAAAACTAGCCAGGTGTGGTGGCCTGTGCCTATAGTCCCAGCTATTCAGGAGGCTGTGGTGGGAGGATCACTTGAGCCCAGGAGATTGAAGCTGCAGTGAGCCATAATCGTGCCACTGCACTCCAGCCTAGGTGACAGAGTGAGACCTTGTTTCAAAAAAAAAAAAAAAAGAAAAGAAAAAAAAAAGTGTTCATGAAACAAATCAATAAAAATCTGTATTTCTGCAAGGCCAAGTGCATTTCTACTTATAGTGTCACATTATCAGTAGAAAAACTCAATAAACACAAAAGTAAAGAAAGATAGATCAAAATGACAAATAGCCCACACCTCAACTTTTTGTTTTGCCTAAAATTTCAAGAAGTTTTAAAAAGGTGTATTTTGGAGGAAAAAAGAAAAGCTTCAAAAACAATTTTGGAAAATAAAGAATGGTATTAGTGAGCCAAAACTGAGGAATTGCTAAAAACAGAAATTAAACAAAATCAGATGGATAGAAGGACTGGTTGGGGGGGTGGGGGAACACACAATCTAAAACATAAGAAAGACAGGACTGTCAGTACACCTGGCTAATTTCAGTATTTTCAGTAGAGACAGAGTTTCGCCATGTTGGCCAGACTGGTCTTGAACTCCTGACTTCAAGTGATCTGCCCGCCTTGGCCTCCCAAAGTGCTGGGATTACAGGTGTGAGCCACCATGTCCAGTCCTCCGGTCATTTTATACCTCCTTTCTTCCTTTCATGCTCTACTGTTTACTGCTTTGGTTTTGTTCTCTTTTTTGTTTGTATATCTGCTGTAATTAATTAAATGTTGGTCACATAAAAATACTCTCGACTTTTCCACTCTGCCACACAATTTATATTTCTGTGGCCTTAATTTACATTTTTATTTATTATGTGTTCCTTAGCCAACATTGCAGTTGTTGTTTTTGACCATTTTGACCTTAAACCTTCATATTAGTTGACTGAAAGATTTACACAGTATCGTTACAGCATTGGGGTGTTCTTAGTTTTATTATAAATTTAGCTCTATTGGTGAGTTTTATACTTTCACATGTTTTCATTACAATGATTCTCACCTTTTTATTTCCTGTTGTAGCATTCCTTTAAGAATTTCTTGTAAGTCTGGTCAAGTGGTGATAAATTCCCTCAGCTTTTGCTCCTCTGGGAAGGTCTCTTTTTCTCTTTCATTTCGAAAGGAGAGCTTTGTTGGATACAGTATACTTGGCTGACAGGTTTTTTTATTTGTTTGTTTGTTTGTTTTCCTTCCTTTCCTTTCCTTTCAGCACTTTGAATACAACACCTCATTCTCTTCTGGCCTACAAAGTTTATGTTGGTAAATATACGGATAGTCTAATGGAAATTCCCTTATATGTGACTCAGTGTTTTTCTTTTGCAGCTTTTAGAATTCTCTGTCTTTGACTTTTGACAGTTTAATTATAATGTGCTCCAGAGAATCTTTTTCACTTGAATCTAACATGGGACATTTGTGCTTTCTTGATCTCAATGTCCACATCTCTCCCCATACTTGGGAAGTTTTCAGCTATTATTTTGTTACATATATTGCTGGGCGCGGTGGCTCATGCCTATAATCCCAGCACTTTGGGAGGCCGAGGCTGGTGGATCACTAGGTAAGGAGATCGAGACCATCTGGCTAATATAGTGAAACCCCGTCTCTACAACAAAATACAAAAAATTAGCCAGGCGTGGCAGCACAGGCCTGTAGTCCCAGCTACTTGGGAGGCTGAGGCAGGAGAATCGCTTGAACCTGGGAGGCAGAGGTTGCAGTGAGCTGAGATCACACTACCGCACTCCAGCCTGGGCGCCAGAGTGAGACTCCACAAAAGGCCCAGAATAGCCAAACCACACTCAGCAAAAAGGAAGAAAAAGAAAGAAGAAAAAAGAAGAGGAGGAGGAGAAGTGGAAGAAGGAAGAAGTGGGGAGGAGAAGGAAGAAGAAGGGGGAAGAGGAGGAAGAAGAAGGGGGAAGAGGAGGAAGAAGAAGGGGAAAGGAGGAGGAAGGAGGAAGAAAAAAAGGAAGGAAGGAAAAAAACCTAGAAGAACCATGTTACCTCACTTCAAATAATATTACTGGGCTATAGTAACCAAAACTGTATGGTGTTGGCATCAAAACAGATACACAGAACAGTGGAACAGAAAAGAGAACCCAGAACAAATACATACATCTACAGTGAACTCACTTTCGAGAAAGATGCCAAGAACATACATTGGGCAAAGGACAGTCTCTTCAATAAACAGTTCTGGGAAAATTGGATATCCATATGCAGAAGAATGAAACTAGACCCACATCTCTTGCCATGTACAGAAGTCAAGTCAAAATGGATTAAAGACTTAAATCTAAGACCTCAAACTATGAAACTATTCATAGAACTCACTAGGAATACTCTATAGGGCATTGGACTGGACAAAGATTTCTTGAGTAATACCCCACCAGCATAGGCAATCAAAGTAAAAATGAACAAATGAGATTACATCAAATTGCAAAGCTTCTGCACAGCAAAGGAAACAATCAACAAAGTAAGAGACAACCCACAAAATGGGAGAAAATATTTGTAAACTATCCATCTCACAAGGGTTCAATAACCAGAATATATAAGGAGCTCAAACAATTCAATAGGAAAAAATCTAATAATCTGATTAAAACATGGGCAAAAGATCTGAAGAGACATTTCTCAAAAGAAGACAAACAGTACACAAGTATATGAAAAAGTGCTTTACAACTGATCGTCAGAGAAATGCAAATCAAAACTAAAATGAGGTAGTATCTCACCCCAGTTAAAATGGCTTTTATCCAAAAGGCAATAACAAATATTGGTGAGAATGTGGAGGAAAGGGAACTCTCATACATGTTGGTTTGAATGTAAATTAGTACAATCACTACGCAGAACAGTTTGGAGGTTCCTCAGAAATCTAAAAACAGAGCTACCATATGATCCAGATATACCTCTGCTAGGTATATCCCAGAAAAAAGGAAATCAATATATTGAAAAGATATCTGCATTCCCGTGTTTACTAGTCACAATAGTAAAGATTTGGAAGCAACATAAGTGTCCATCAACAGAAGAATGAATAAAGAAAATGTGGCATATACGCAATGAAGTACTATTCAGCCATTAAAAAAAAAAGATTCTGTTATTTGCAACAACATAGATGGAACTGGAGGTCATTAAGTGAAATAAGCCAGGCACACAAAAACCGACTTCACTTGTTCTCACTTATTTATGGAGGCTAAAAATTAAAACAATTGAACTCATGGACACAGAGAGTAGACAGATGGTTACCAGAGGCTGAGAAGGGAAATGAAGAAGTGGAGGTAAAGTGGGGATGGTTAATGGGTACAAAAAACAGAAAGAATAAATAAGGTCTAGTATGTGACAGCAGAACAGAGTGACTACAATCAATAATAATTTAACTATAGCTGTAAAAATAACTAAGAGTATAAATGGATTGCAGTAGAAAGCACAAATGCTTGAGGTGATGGATGCCTCATTTACCCTGATAAAATTACTATCCATTTTATGCCTGTATCAGAAAATCTCATATATCCCATATATATATGTACATATATACGTATATATGTACATATATATATACAACTATGTATCCACAAGAATTTAAAAATTAAGAAATTAAATGAATAAATAAACAAAACCTTCTCTCCTGAACAAAGCCAAAGAGAGTGAAATTGACAGAGAGAAAAACAATGCCTACATAATCTGGTCCCTATCTTACTTTTACATTTCAGCTCGTCCCATTTGATCCTTAACTCACTTCACTCCAGAAATACTGATATTTCTGTTTCTGGAGTACATTCCAATCTCAGTACCTTTATACTCCCTGTTAATACATGGTATTCTCCTTCACATTATTTAATTCTTTGCTCATGTATCATCTTCTCTGAGGTAATCTAACATTATTACTCCCAGTCCTTGTCCTAGATTATTTCCTTCATAGTAGTTAACACTATGTGATACTATTTATTCATTTACTTATTGTCCTTCTTGCATACCAAAATATAAGCTCCATTAGAGAAGAGACTTTCTTGTATATACCATTATATCCCCAGTACCTAAAACAATGGTTGCCACATTTATCAATAAGTCTTTGATGAGTGAATGAATGATAGAGCTCCTCTGTGGCTAGAAATCACCATCCAATCTAACTCTACGTCTTATATATACACTATAATTGTGGAAACAGGATTTTCTATCATATCTGAATCCACATACTTATACACCATTTAACAGGGTTCTACCTTAAGAGTGGCAATAAAAACACTGCAGTAGCTGCAGAATATTTTACTCTTGGGCCTGATAAAATATTGACAGAAACAATTCTAAAAGAACTGCCTGCTCAGCAATTTCAGCCAATTTTTGAGCCTGGAAAAAATAGGGGGAAAAAATCAAGTGAACTTTCACTCAGTTACATGAAAATGCAATGCATTAGTTTTATTTCATTTGGGCTTCTAAATAAAATAAGCAATTTAAATAAAGCCAATCAACTTGCAAATAAAGAAAGTGCCACATCTATGGCATTTTACACAAACTAGAAAATCTAGAGGAAATGGATAAATTCCTGGAAATACATAACCTCCCAATATTAAATCAGGAAGAAATTGAAACTCTGAACAGACCAATACTGAGTTCCAGAATTAAATCAGTAATAAAAAGCCTACCAACCAGAAAAAGCCCCAGACCAGACAGATTAACAGCTGAACTCTACCAGACATACAAAGAGTTGATATCAATTCTACTGAAACTATTCCAAAAAAATGAGGAAGAGGGACTCCTCCCTAACTCATTCTATGAAACTAGCATCACTCTGATGCCAAAAGCTGGCAAAGACACAACAACAACAACAAAAAGAAAACTTCAGGCCAATATCTCTGACAATTGTAGACACAAAAATCATTAACAAAATACTAGCAAACCAAGTCCAGCAGCACATCAAAAAGTTAACTGACCACGATCAATTAGGCTTTATTCCTGAGATGCAATGTTTGTTCAACATATATGTCAATAAATGTAATTCATTACATAAACAGAATTAAAAACAAAAACCATATGAGTATCTCAACAGACACAGAAAGAGCTCTCAGTAAAATCCCACATTCTTTCACGATAAAAGCCCTCAAGAAACTAGGCATCAAAGGACATACTATCATATCATACTACCAACATCATAGTAAAAAGGCAAAAGCTTGAAAGCATTCTCCCTAAGAATAGGAACAAAGTATGGATGCTCACTTTGACTACTTCTACTCAACATAGTACTGGAAGTCCTAACCAGAGCAATCAGGCAGGAGAGAGAAATAAAAGGCACCCAAATAGGAAAATACTAAGTCAAATTATCTCTCTTCAGAGACAATAGGATTCGACACCTAGAAAACCCTAAAGACCTGACCAGAAGGCTCCTAGAAATGATAAATGACTTTAGTAAAGTTTCAGGATATAAAATCAACATACAAAAATCAGTAGCACTTCCATACATTTATAACATTTTAGCTGAAAGCCAAATCAAGAACACAATCCCATTTACAATAGTCATAGTCACACAAATATCTAGGAATACATCTAACAAAGGAGGTGAAAGATCTACAAGGAGAACTATAAAACCCTGCTGTAAGAAATCACAGAATGACACAAATGGAAAAACATTCCATGTTCATAGATATTAAAGAATCATTATTATTATTATTATTATTATTATTATTATTATTATTTTTCAGACGGAGTCTCACTCTGTAGCCCAGGCCGGAGTGCAGTGGCGTTATCTCGGCTCAATGCAACCTCCGCCTCCCAGGTTCAAGCGATTCTCTTACCTCAGCCTCCTGAGTAGCTGGGATTATAGGCACACGCCACCACACCCGGCTAATTTTTGTATTTTTAATAGAGACAGGGTTTCACCATGTTGGCCAGGCTGGTCTTGAACTCCTGACCTCATAATCCACCCGCCTCAGCCTCCCAAACTGCTGGGATTGCAGGCATGAGCCACTGTGCCCGGCCAAGAATCACTATCTTTAAAAAGGCCATATGGCTTAAAGCAGGGTACAGATTCAATGTTATTCCTATCAAACTACCAACACTGTTTTTACCCCAATTAGAAAAAACTCTTCTAAAATTCTTACAGAACCAATAAAAAGCTTGAATACCCAGAGCAATCCTAAGTAAAATGAACAGTCAGAGGCATCATATACCTGACTTCATAAGGGTACAGTAAAAAAAAAAAAACCAAACACCATCGGTCTAGTATAAAAACAGACACATAGACTAATGAAACAGAATAGATAAGCCAGAAATAAAGCCACACATCTACAACCATCTGATCTTTGACAAAGTTGACAAAACTAAGCAATGGAGAAAGGATTCCATATTCAATAAATGGTGCCGGGATAACTGGCTAACTATAGACCTTCATTGGATACATTTAGCTAGCTAGCCAGTTATCCCAGCACCATGCAGAAGAATGAAACTGGACTCCTACCTTTCACCATATACAGAAATTAACTCAAGATACATTAAAGATTTAAATGTAAGACCTCAAACTGTAAGAATCCTAGAAGAATATCCATGAAACACCACTTTGGACACTGACCTTGGCAAAGAATTCATGACTAAATCCTCAAAAGCAAGCGCAACACAAAAAAAATTGACAAGTGAGACCTAATTAAATCAAAGAGCTTCTGCACAGCAAAAGAAACTATTGACAGAGTACGTTAGAAAACTTGCAGAATGGGAGAAAACATTCACAAATACCCATGCGACAAAGGTCTACGTCTAGAATCTATAAGGAACTTAAACAATCCAACAAGCAAGAAACAAATGATCCCATTAAAAAGTGGGCAAAGGACATGAACAGACACTTCTGAAAAGAAAACATACAAGCTACCAACAACATATGAAAAAAATTTCCATATCATTCGTCATCAGAGAGATACAAATCAAAACCACAATGAGGTACCATCTCATACCAATCAAAATAACATGTTGGCGAGGCTGCAAAGAAAAAGAAACTTTCATACACTGCTGGTAGGAATGTAAAGTAGTTCAACCACTGTGGAAAGCAGTTTGGAGATTTCACAAAGAACTTAAAACAGAAGTATCATCTGACCCAGGATCCTATTAATGTGTATACACTCAAAGGAAAATAGATCATTCTACCAAAACCACACATGCACTCATGTTCATCACAGCCCTATTCACAATAGCAAAGACATGGAATCAATCTAGGTGTCCATCAACAGTATATTGGATAAAGCAAGTGTGTTACATACACACCACGAAATCCTATGCAGCCATAAAAAAGAATGAAATCATGTCCTTTGCAGAAACATTGATATAGCTGGAGGCCATTATCCTAAGTGAGTTAATGCAGGAACAGAAAGCCAAATACTGCATGTTTTCACCTGTTAGTGGGAGCTAAACACTGGGTACAAATGATGTAAAGATGGGAACAACAGACACTGGGAACTATAGGAGGTAAGAGGGAGGGAGGGGGCCAAGGGTTTAAAACTACCTGTTGGGTCCTATGCTAACACCCTGGGGGATGGGATCCTTCATATCCCAAACCTCAGTGTCACTCAACATACCCATGTAACAAACCAGCACATAAATCCCTTAATCTGAAATAAAAGTTGAAATTTTTTAAAAAATTAATTAAAAATAAATAAAAATGTAGAAAAGAAAGTGCAAACATCTATACATTTGCACTAAGTGCCAGGGGAAAAATGTGATTTGAAATTTTTTCTGTCCTGTCTCCCAACACAGGTTTAAATATTTAATTAAATATTCTGAAGCATCTCTATGCACCCAGAAACAAAGTATTTATATACATTTTTGCTATTGCTGGAATTTTTATTCAACATAAATGTGTGTGACATTCTCAAATGATAATTTTCAACCCATTTAAAGCCAAGGGAAAACTACATACTCCATACTACCTGTTTTGTTTCTCCTTTTTTTACATCTGACAAAGTTCCTTTCAGACCTTTTGGGTCACCTGTTCTAGAGATACAACTGAACATATTTGGTACCTCATTTCTAAGAACTTGGTTAATTCTAGAATGAACTTGATGATTATGGAAAAAATTATTCAGAAATTATGGAAATCCACCCAAAAACCTGATTATATGAGAAATGTAGCAGAAAGTATTTAACACTGTAATCAAAATTCCTTTCTACTTATCTCTTGCTTGTATATGTTTTCCACATTTCTATATACTTATCTTTTCTGTTAATTAAGACAACATGAATGACAACTTCATTTGGCACTTTATCTCTTGAATGAGATTCAATCGAATACTGGATGATTAATAAGTAGTTGATGAATGGATCAAAAGAAGAATGATAATTTTTGCTTGTCTGGGGAAAAGGTATTACACGAATTATAAAACAACGGCTTATTAGGTAGAAATAAAAAACACAAGTATATTAAAAACATCATAACTATTATTTAAAACAACTCAATTATAATCCTCCTATATTTAAAATGTTTGATCTTTAGGTATGAGAAACATACTTCTCTGAAAATTACATTTGGAAAGTCAAACACTGAAGGTTGCAGGAGTTCTATCAGAAATTACTTGAAACTTAGTTTCTGTCACTGACTTTGTAAAGTTAAGCATAAATTAAAGGCTCAATCTTAGCTAAAAATTTTCATCCTATTAGTAATATCATTCCCCATTTTAATGAGAGACACAAAAAATAAAATGAACAAATTTCATTATCTGTATTGGCCAACTATATTTCTGACATACCAAATGCTTACTGCACAAATAAATTTTCTCCGAATTATATATACAGTTTCACCTAGTTGTGTAAAATCGGATATTAATCGACACCTTTAAACCTTATTACTAGGAAATCTGGGGCATTAAAATCATCCTTAGGAACTCATAGGAAATGGTAAACATATAATATCACCAAGTCTCCCTTTTTGAAAATTAGAAATAACTCAATCATGCTCCATTCCTGGTCAACCAAGAATTTTAAATTTATAATGCTTGCATGACTAAATGTGATTTTGTTCTATGACACAGAGACTAAGCATACATAAACTAAATCAGCCACTTAGACACGTAGCTTGAAGTACTTATGTACATAACAAAGCACTGGGATTTTAAGAATCTTGGTTTTAAAAACTCCCTCCAGCAATTCTTCCATCTCTAAAACTCTAGGCTTCTTAGAGTTTTGTTGCATTCAAAATGGCCTCAGCAATTGGTTCATAATGATGTCACAGGAGTAACCAGAAAAACTGTGCATCACTGGTACTGAAAATGAGAGTTATTTATCTGTGAATAGGTACACGGCTAAAATATGTTGAACGTAAATCTATTTCCATAATTATTAATAAATAAAATTTAATATTTAAGATATCAGTAATAGTGAACACTAGGTGTCAGTGTAAGAAACGGAAAAATATTTTTAAAAACCTGTTGTTTCCAATCAGGTGTATAACAATAAAATCAAAAGCAGCTGTGACCACATTTACTTATAATTACATAATTCGGTTAACAAGCCAATCTTTCTTTCAAACAAAAATTTCTGTTCCAAAACCATCAAGAGTTTAAAATCAGATTAAGCTAATTATTAGAAGTTACAAGTCTTTTGTAACCTTGGCTACATAAAGCATAGCAAATTTTTACTTTTAAGAATATATATTTTGAAGAAAATTCTACTTTTAGGAATACATATTTTGAAGTGTTAAAGTGCAGAACTACTATACTGCATTATTTTCGTTGGTTATTTTTCAAAATAATAATGCTGGATGATTAATAAATGATACTGAATTTTAAGCTTTTCCCCAAACAGAAGTTTCCCACATAAATTTCAAGTTATTAAAAGTTAAAATGTTTAAAGGGTCAATTCACAAGGAAAGGGCACACGAACTTAGGAAGTACAATTGCTTCTCTTAAAATTTTAGTACCTAGAATTTTTCTAAAGTATAAATGCTATCATTTATACTAAAAATATCATCTAATAACTTTACCAATATTTCAGATAAAGAGTTTTCTCTATAGACTTTTGAGGGTAAATGCTTTTAAAACACAAGTTTTAAAAAGATTATTATTAGCAATAATAATAAAAGGAAATGTCAACATCAAAACAGTGTCCCTAGTTTTATGAAAAGGCACTTTACAATTTACAAACACATTCATAGTATTACTTAATTTACACCTAATAATAATAATATAAGAAATCTATACTCATTTTAGCACACTGGTCAAGTTTGGGGGCTTGAGCTCTCTGTTTCATCTACCTATTTATCCATTTCTCTGTTTCACCTCCCTCAAACTCCACATTACTATGTACTTATGAAATCATGTATTTTTCAAGAATGTTGGGAAATTTCTTCACACAATATTCTGAAAACCATCAAGTTTGAAAAAGAAACAAAACTAAACATAGAAGTCGCCACTAAAATACAATATCTTAGGACTCGAAGATCATTTAGGAGAATATTCAAGGATTTGCTGGATAAAAATAAGTGCTTTCAGTCAATGCTGTTTCTTATTTCAATGATAGTTAAGTTCTATTCCAATTATAGAGATAAAACGAGAAGGCATAAAATTAATGGAAAAGCTTCCTAAGTCTCCAGGATTGAAATGAATTAAATTTAGATCATTCTGCGTCTGCAGGTTTCTTCTCAGGGACATAAAATCAGACGGGAACTGACAAGAAAGGAACAAGGAAACTCATGTTTAATAAATTATCTAAACTGGGTTTTAAGAATGTTGAGGTATCTAAGAATATTGGCAATAAAAAGTAGAGGTAGGAGAAATAGTGACAAAACTGTATAAGGCATGACATGCTAAAGCAGAAGGGTGGCCTCAGAAATACTGCATGCTATGAATCTTCGAGCGCTCTTTCTGCCTCTTAGTGTCTTTGCCTTTGACACTCTGTTACTCCAAATGTCAAAAAATTTTTTGGCTGCCATTAATCCTGTTCCCATTGGCAAATAATGTAGACCAGTGTTAGGTCATTTACACACATTATCTTATATAATGCCTATGATGTAGGTAAATTCCAAGAGATGACTAAATGAGGACTTGGATTAAGGAATATGCTCAAGACTGTATAACTGGCAAGTTATGAAGCCAAGATTCAAATCCAGCAATGTTTGTCTCCAAAAACATTCCAGTCTACAAGCATTTACCAACTCATGGCTCACGAACCCTGTGGGTTTTGCAAAAGTAATCAGGGATCAGGGGAGTCACATCTAGAACAGTGATTACCAAATGAGAATATACCAAGTTAGTACATATAAATGTACTAACAACTCAGTATTTCTATCAGTTTCTCACTCAGATCAATACTGACAGCTGTCATGGTAGATTTGATTGTTATATGATTTTAAATTCATTTATTCTCTGTGATATGGAATTTAATTTATACCCATACTGAACTATTGTTTACAGGTAGTAAGCATAAGTAGTTGAAGCTAAAACAAAATAATATATAACAATTACACTAACTTTGTAAATTTGATATCTTTCTTTACCAGAATAAGATGTATTCATCTGAAGGAAAGTAGAATTCAGTACATTGAGATATGGACTTCAAAATATCATATGAATGGAAAATATAGTAGCAAGTATACACAATTTAGCTTTTTGTTTATCCATATCAGAAAATTTTATGGCAAAATGCTTGCCAAGAGTAGCCTATAACATTTTCCTTTAGTCCACCTTAAAACAAAAGTAAAAATATATAGGTTTTTAAAAACATCCCATTCATTTCAAAGCATTATGAGTAAGAATTCCAAAAACAGCAGTTTTGTATCATTCTAATAAAATTAAATTTCAATCTATATGTTACATTTCTTATTTCAATGATGTTCTTCCCTTTTACAATCAGGACTCAATTCTTCTCTTTTCAAGATTCCTGGGTATCCTCTTGAGTGGCGTCACCCATTTCACTTGTAACCAGGCCTCTTTGTAGGCAAACAGTATCTTCCTGAAATGCCATTCGCCTTATTCTAAAACCCTTCTTCTTCTGCGTCTCTCATCAGAGCTTCAAATTCATGTCTAAAACCACCATTTCTCTTCCAAATCTGTGCTTTCTGACCTATTTCAATTCACAAATCTGTCATTCTCCCAATTGCTTAGGAAATATCTCTGACTTGCTCTCCCTTATCTTTTATTTAACCTTCCTGGCCCTGAATTCCTGAACCCATGAAATCTTGCATATTGCAGCTCTACATTTTTTTTTCAAACTAGGATGTGTTAGTTCAGAATCTGTAACTGTGCAACTTAGAGCTAGCAACAACTTTTGCCTAAATACTGCAATATCCTCCTTATAACTGACCTCTCCAGAAGCAGCATCTTGAGTCTTTCACAGTTCGATATAAAATAGCCAGGTTATTCTATCCACTTCACTTACTTTGCCACTCTCTAAAATTTTTAATTGTCCCCAGCTGTCTACAGAATTACATACAAATTACTCAGTTTGAAATTCAATGACCTTGAAAATCTGGTCCCAAGTGTCTTTTTCATCACCTTTCTCCATCATACAATTAAGAAACATTGCTCATACAACTGGAAACCCATATGGCTTGATCAGAGGTGATATAATATCAACCAATAGCTGAATTTGGTTCTTGGCATAAAATGCAAAAGCTCTGCAATATAGCTGACATTTTAAAATAGGCATTCCATTCCTGACAACATCATTCACATCCATTCTGAAATCCAAACGGGGTTAGCTATTAATCATTACTATGTAGCTTATTATTCACACAAAAATATTATACTTACTGAAAACAAAGAAGCAATTGGTTTTGAAACTCAGTGTAAATAAAAGGATAATTTATTAATTACCATTCTCTCTTTTGGAGAACAGCCATTAGGTCTTTAATACTGACATAGATAAATAACTTCATTCTTGTCTTATAAAAAACTTTCAGTTCCTGACTAGCATAAAAAGAGAACAAATAAATTAGATATGTTAGAAATGGGAAACTGAATTCCAGTATTTTCTTTATTCTCACAAAAGAGACATTTGAAAATATCACCACCTGATCTCTGATTTTTATGAAAATGCAGGGACTTTTTTATCCACCATGATAGAAAATACCAAAGTTATTTAGAAAAAGAGTATTAATACTTTTGCTTTTAGTGAAAAAAAGAATTAAAAAATATTGAGTTTCTACTAAATATAATGTACTCATTGAAACCGTATTCTTATCAGTGAAATCAAATGCTTGCATATTTAGAAAAAAAGGCAATATTTGATTTTTAAAACCTGCCATAGACAAAATAATTGAAAAGGATAAAGCTGAGACTTTTATGATGGGAGTAAAAGTTAACTAGTGAAAAAATTATTATTCTTTTAACTATATGTGAACCATAAACATTTTATTAGGAATACAGTTATTTTACTTCTTGTATTATCATCAAATCTTACATCGAGTCTAGTGATCTTCTTAATAAAAACAGTCTACAAAGAGAAACTTTAGTGCTCAAGGAAAAAGATTCTACTAAAACTTTTCTTCTTAAAGCTTATTACCAAAGCAAGCAATAATATGGTTGATTTCTGGAAAAGTTCACAATATTTTAAATATCCTTTTCAAGTATGTTTAAATTCCTTCTTTCTTATATATTGAATTACCTTTGTCCAGTGGTCTATCAAATGATTTCTATTTTAATGTTATGAAATTATAACTTATGCCTACATTATGTTTTGTTGGTTATTAAAACTATTTCTCATGTTAAAGAATGCTATTCTCTTTCCAAACTTCAAATATGATAAATATTTATCATAGACTTGAAACTGAATTTGTATTTTCCACACCAAAAGAAGATTGTGCTTACCTTTCTTGGCACTTCTCTTTTTCAATTACTTCTTTTTCAACCACTCCTCACTAACTATTTGCAAAATGTAAATACTACTCTGAAAACAATATTCTTCTTACTGCAGAGAACCACAGAATACTCAGAATTAGAAGGGACCTTACAGACATATAGTAAATTCAGTCTGATAAGTACCCATTAAAAAAACAGCATATTTTCTATACTAAGGAATCCCCAAACTCTCTAGAGAAGAAATGGTTTGAATTCCCTATCTACTACTTATAAGCTGTGTGACTGTGGGCAAGTTGCTTAATCTTTCTGTTCTTCAGTTTCTAAACCTATAAAGTGAAGAGAGTATCTTCTAACTCTCTAGGTTTACTGGAAGTATTTAGTGAAATGTTTCTTATAAGTGATGCCACTCTGTCAAACTACAGATAGAAACACAGAAAGTTTTAAAAATATTTTTCCCTTAATTCCTTAAGGATATTTGCTAAATTATGGAATCTTTATATACAGTTTTGGGGAGAAAAATGTTTTGGTCATTTAAAAGTCTTTGGTCATTACAGTTTTGGGGAGAAAAAGTTTTTGGTCATATAAAATTTTTGGTCATTTTACATAAATAAAATATAAATTTTATATTTTATATGGTTACAAATATCAATACGCATACTGGGCTAAATACAACAGAATGATGTTCTCTGAAACCAAAAAGTTAGGAAACTTGATATTTTAATATATATTTTCTGGAACATACTTTACATTATATATTTTACTTGTAAACCAACTAGATAACCTATAATTGTGTGTATTTGTGTTTTTAGCAATTATTTTATCTTGGCTCTACACCGTCACAACTTCTTGCTGTTTCTTATCAGCATCTGCCTTATTAATTGCCTTGGTCCTTTCCATTCCATTTTCCTCCTACTCTACTGCAAAAAAAACCCAAAAAACACATAAAGAAACTCTTAGATTAAATACATTCTGGGTACTGAGCATGATTTTTACAGTATTTATGCTGATGTTTATTACTTAATGCCATATTATTAGTTGAATTAGAAGTGCAAAGTCAGTGAAAATTTTACTGATAAACATCATTTTCAAAGTTCTATCCTGAAGATGTTTTCTTAAGCCTTTTCTAGTTGACACATTTATTTAATAGACTTTCTCTTTCCATTTAATTAAAAAATTTGAAGTCAGCCGGGTGCGGTGGCTCACACCTGTAATCCCAGCATTTGGGAGGCTGAGGCGGGTGGATCACCTGAGGTCAGGAGTTCTAGACCAGCCTGGCCAACATGGTGAAACCCTGCCTCTACTAAAAATACAAAAACTAGCCAGGCGTGGTGGCAGGCACCTGTAATCCCAGCTACTTGGGGGACCGAGGCAGGAGAATTACTTGAACCTGTGAGTTGGAGGTTCCAGTGAGCTGAGATTGTGCCATCGCACTCCAGCCTGGGGAACAACGGTGAGACTTCGTCTCAAAAAAAAAAAAAAAAAAAAATTAAGTCAATTTTATTCTAGTGCTTCAAATATAAATACCTTTTGAATTTCAGATTATATATATACTTAGAGTTTCATAACAACTTACTAGAGAAGTCTCTAAGGACAGTTAATATATGCTTGGGAAACTAACAATGTGATTTATAAATTCACCCAGAGATGTGAGAACGACTAGAATTGAAATTATCAGCATAAATAATCTGTTCCCTAACACAATGTAGTAAAATAACACCCCTAATAAAACATCTAACACAATGTAGTAAAATAACACCCCTAATAAAACAACTAACACAATGTAGTAAAATAACACCCCAATAAAACATCGCAATGGATGTGAAGAGTTCATATCAGAATCTAAAGGGATAAAAATACATATTTTACAAAATAATTGTATGTTCTTCAAATGTAGAAAAATATATAATACTGAGATCTGATAAATAAATAAAAGTTGCTAATTATATTTTTATAAAAAATAGGATAAATTCAAGCTAGGTTAAAATTTTGTAAGTTAAAAAGCTATACAGAAATGTTTTTATTTAAAACCTGGAAAATGGCCTATATATACAATAAAATAATATAAGCAAACTCTTTAGAAGACGGCCTCACACATAGTAGATGTTTACTAACTGTTATTTTCTTCTTTTCTGCAGAAACTTAACACTAATCAAGAGTAATAGCAGCAATGGGGAAAGAAGATGCAGAGTTATGGATAAAGAAAAGACATTCAAAGATCTTGGGAAAGGAACTGGAAAGAGGAAGTTTTAAACAATCTCTTAGTTCAGATACAGAGGAGAAAAGAAAAACTGATAAATGAGAATAGAATACTTGGAAAACATCTGCCAAATTAAAAAGCACAAAAAGTAAGAACAAAGAAAGAGGGAGAAAGAGAACCTGATGCATGCTAATCAAGATGGGAGACTGAACAGTTACTCTTCACAGATATGTTTATTCTTCATTACTTTTTATAATTCAAGATTATAAATAATCTCAAAAATAATCCAGAGAATAGATTCACATATGAAAGCATAGTTCAACAGACTGAATGGCTTACTAGTTGTTGAGTAGATTCACATAGAAAAAAACCTAATATGATTTTCAAATGGAAGGTTAGATAATTATATTCTATGCATAAAACAAATTATATTCTACACATATTTAATAGAGTAGTGAAAGCAGCCACATAGCCATCAGAAATCATGACAATTTTTGAACTTCATTTAAAATTGGGTATTATCAAAAGCATAATATAGACTCAGTCACACAATTTCAAGATGGCGCAAATCTCTGCCTATCTCTATTAAGACATGCAATTCAATCTGGAGAGTGGGAGTTTTATAAAAAGTTTGCATCTCTCTGGTAAATCTAAAACACTTGGAACCTAAGCATTTATGAGAAATTTTAGCCCGAACTAAAACGTTCAGCACAGATTAAAAATCCAAGCATGGTACAGGATACAAGTAGCTAGAACTTAGCTTAAGTCAGGGGATAGGAGTCTAGCAGACCAGCAGAGAAAAAAAGGAAGAACCTTTAGGGAGAAAAGCCTGATGCAAGAAAAGAAACACAAATTGAAAGGTGAGAAGATGCTATTTTATATCTATGCTAAGAAAACCAAGTAACATGAGACAATACTTGTAATTTACTGGAAGTGAAAAACAATTTATACTCTGAAATTCTGTGACACTGAAGTAAAGACTGCTTTTCAAAATGAATTGGTTAGTAGGATATACTACAGCAGGAAAAAAATATGTTAAGAGTGGGAGAAAGGACTGGGAATTCCTTCCCAGTTGATCCTCTGTGTCATGCCTTTAGCAAACTATCCATGGCAATTGGTGGGGAGAATGTAGCATAAGAGGCATTCTACACAGAATATGCCCATTTTAAAAACTAAGTATCAGTCAATAGTTACTTATTATTTTTTTAAAAAGACAATTGTATTTATTGATGCATGAGGTAGTAATATATGAGAGAAAATAAGACTAATTTAAGTAGAAGATATTAGGAGTGATCAATTACAAACAAGTGGTGCTATACAGAAATAATCAGGAAATTTTCCATAATACTTATTCCATAATACTTCATTTTTACTTAAGAAGTAAAAATGAAGAAAAGTAATCAGATTTTACCAACACAAAATATTCTATTTTGAACAACTCTGTACGCATATGTGACCATACGTGTGTGTTTTCCCCAAAGCAGGTGTGTTTTTAGTCTGTTTATTCTAAACATATGCTTAATTTACTCCACAGTAGCAGACAGAAAGGCCGAGAATTTTTTCCCAGATGGTATTTGTGGACTACCTCATATTCCATTCATGTAAACACAGAGTGTGTTCTGGTTTGCTGAACTACATATACATGCTCTGGCTTAGTACAAAGTATGAACGTTTAGTTAGCAAGAAGACTGTTTCCATCCTATGATTCATTAGGTCCCCATGGTACCTCTGCTTCCTTTATTTTATGCAATCACAAATTATATTAGTTTGTCCTATTTTGATAACCCTTATAATTGAAATTCTACATAGGAAACTTTATTACTATTTTAAAACACACCCATAAAACATTACTGAGGTGGCATAAGTGACAGCCTCACAGAACTGGTGATGAGGACAGAACAGAGCTTTGCATGAACTGCTTCTACCAGGGAAATTAAAAAGCATTACAGGAGGGAGGGGTGAATTCAGTGCATTTTAATCCAGATCGGAGATTAAGCCATAACTCTTCACACTTATAAATTTGTTCTTTATTACTTTTCATAATTAAGGAGAATTAGCTAAACATGATAAATTGGTTCTGATGTGAAAACTAGTGTAACCAACTACACAGCTTACTACTGACTGGTAGATTCATACAGTGAAAATCTAATATGATTTTTAAATGGAATGGTAATTACATTCTATGCATAAAATGTAGTGAATCTTTTGATATTTAACTTTGAATGAACAGAGAAATGAAAGCAGCTATATAGCCATCTGAAATCATTACTTTTTGAACTTGAAAGAGATATTGACAACATCATAACAACAACTCAAACATAATTTGCAGTTGGCACAAATCTCTACTTACTTCAAATGTGATTTAACTCAACCTGGAAAGTGAGGAGTAAGGAAGCTTAGGATATGAAAAAGTTTGCATCTCTCTGGTAAATGTGAAATTCTTGGAAATTTTCTAATCCATTTCTCATCTCA
The DNA here is from genome assembly GCF_000001405.40 of Homo sapiens. Classification (NCBI taxonomy): domain Eukaryota; kingdom Metazoa; phylum Chordata; class Mammalia; order Primates; family Hominidae; genus Homo; species Homo sapiens. Next base: position 45,095,955 of record NC_000006.12, read on the forward strand.
ATCATGCCATTAAATAGCCCCATTATTAACGACAATAGCAACTATTACTACTGTTACTAGTAACCTAGAGAAGGGACGCTATGTTCCAGGAATTTCATTAACTCCTTCATATATATATAATCTTTATGATGCTTTATAACTACAGTAAAAAGTAAATATTAGCATTGCAACATAACAAAATAAAGAAACTAAGAGTTTGAAACCTTTCTCTAGTGACAATTTCTAATTTGTATTGCATTGAATCATATAAAATCACCAATATTCAATCATTTATAGCCTGTAAATATGTCAATTTCATTTGGTTCAAACTTATGTAAGAGTTGGTTTAAATAATTTCTCAAGTGTAATTCAACTTTGAAATTCTATGACTTTATTGTTCTAATCTGTTCTTGAAATAGTAAAATCGAAAGCTTTATATAGATTTTAGATGATGTATTTTCATTATTTAACATAGTATATAATCTACATGTACATAAACTTCAGGGAAAAACAGTCAACTCAGGCCTAAGCTATCCACAACCTAACAAGTGGAAAAGAGTGGAAGAAGGTGAAATTACTTAAAATGAAGCACAGGCCTAAGTGAAGCACTGGATAAGAATTATGCATTAGATGAGAGGATATAGATTCCACATGGGAACAACAGGTCAAAGAAAGACGAGACAAAAAAAAATGATTTAAGTAAAAACTTCTAAATGTAGTTTATTGCCAGTCTTATGGTAGTATTCCCCAAATGAAACAATATGTACCTACTGCCAAAATAATCTAAAAAATGTCCATCATCCTTGGTAGTTGATATTCAACAAAATATCAACAGTAGATATTCAATAAAAATCTGTATTGACTAAGGGAGGTTTTTTTTTAAAGAATCAAAGTATATCATAATAAGTCTTGTCAAAAACACAGCTTCACCTACTTCGAGGTGCTATATTCAATCTTGATATATATCTATCAGGAGATAATAGCTAGAAATAGTCCATAGTCCCAAAATAAAATTTTGAGGAGCTGAAAGGACTGACATAACTGATACTGAAAAAATGCTGTAGGACAAAGAGAGTGTAGTATAATATATATCAGGCATCAGTCTTGTGGAACTTGTTATCCTATACATAGTGAAATGATGAAAAGATAACACTGATCAAAGATGGACTTCAAAAATTTTTGACTGACAGAAATCTACAATACACAAATAATCAAAAAGGAACTGTTCTGGTTGAATTTGGGGTAGGGATCTCAGAGCCCCATCTTCTTCTCTTCCTCAAATATGAGGTGTCCCTGAACATTCTTTTGAATACTGGTGTTTCATGGACCATGCTAATTTGAAAGCCACTGCTTTAGTCAGGAAGTTTGCTACAGGACACAAGTGTCAAGCCCAGCTGTGAGTTTTCTGGCTTCCCAGAAACTCTAGAGAGAGAAGTCCGTGCCCTGAAGGAGAATTGATGACGGCTCACAATTTCTTGAGCTGCCACAGAAGCAAAGGCAGAGGAAAGAGGTGTGATAAGGAAAGGGGGAAGCCCACCTAGCTTAAGATGGGCCAGCACAAGGCAGCCCTATGCAGGCTGTGAGAGGCTTCCAGCCACTTGCTGATTTGTGAGAAATTCAACTGTGGCCACACAAAGTCATTCCACTGACATCTCAAAGAGATCCACTGTTACAATTACAGGTGACTGTAGCTACAATGGGTCCCCAAAGGTTCCTGCTATGCAAATACAAATATTGATGAAGATAATACTGCTGTCCTTCTACAAAACAGTAACAACACTCATGTTTCTTCTATCTCTAATGATAAAAATATATATACTGTGCAAAAAGACATACAGGTTTTTATAAACTGAAAGTCTGCCCTTGTATCTTCTTCTCTCCAAACTCACTCCCTTCTTAGACCTATCATTAACAGGGAAATTAATTTCATACTGGACAAAGACACTTATGAAAAAACTGGACTGCAAGGTCATCCATTTCAGTATTCTTGCAGAAAAATCATGAAATTTGGGGCTGGGTCTGATAGGATTGTGGCGGTCCTCTCTCCCACCTCAACAGCTACCACTGCCTCCAGATGCTCTAAAGATGGCGAGCTCTCTGGGTTCCCAAGCTTACAACACCCAGAACTGGGAGGGGGTGGACTTTCCTGTTCTGTGCCAGGAATGTCTTGCAGAAATCTATATATATTAAATAGCCAAAGAAAAAAGCAGGAAGGAACGCAAAATTTGTGCCAGGCCATTCAGTGTTTTGCTTGTGCCCTGGGGTCCACATGCATTTCAAGAAGACAGAAGTGTGCCAACCCTGCAGTAAATTGAAGCATGTCTGTTAGGCCTAAATCTTAAGACCTAAAGCATGGTCTGCCCATCCAGGTTAATAATGCAGAACTGTCTTCTGAAGGTGACCTGCCAAAGTCTGATGTCAAAAAAAGAGTACTGCATGTAGAATATGAGAGACAGGGATTTCTAGCTCTGATGGAACGTGGCCAGTTTGCCTGCTGGGGAAAAAGCCACACTGACCAGAGACATGCTACTCAGTCCAGCTTGGACCACACCCTCCTACCAAAGGAGTAAGCCCCACATTTGCTCCTCCTGGGTGAAAGGAGAGTATAAGAGAGGAGAGGAACATCCATGCAGACATGAGAAGCCTATAGATCCAGATGATCCCCTTGCCAATCAGAATATTATGGAATCAATGATCCAGAAACAGATAAGCATCTAAAGTGGGCTTCAATCATGCCCCATCTGGACCCATCAGAGGACAAGGTTATCCTCCCCATATGTTGGTAGTCTGGATAATACCCTTTCTGAGACAGATCTAAGACATCATCACTACCAGTTTGGAGAGATGCAGATTGATTACTGTTGTTCAGAGAGAGCAGTGTGCTTTCATCCAGGTTTCCACAGGGCAGGCTGCAGAAGTGGCTGCTGAGAAGTCCTTTGATAAGTTGATTGTCAATGGCTGTAGACTCAACATAAAATGGGGAAGATCCCAAGCATCCAGAGGAAAAGAAAAAGAGAAGAACAGATCACAGACTCTGGGATCCAGCTACAGCCTATTCCAGCACTGCCATGAGCTCTTCCTCCTCCTACAGCAGCAGAAGATGCATGTGCCAGCTACTTCAACCTGCCCCAACATGGTCCTCCAGCTGTGGTGAACATTGCCCAGCCACCAGCCCCTAGTCTTCCACACCCCCAACCCCAGGATTTAGGCCACACATATTCACCTCAATGGGACCACCCTTTCCTTTCATGACAACTCCAGGATTAATCCACTATCTTTCTCATGACCCTCAGAGGATGGGAGCTCATGCCAGAAAACATAGGAAACCCTAGCACACTATCAACACTCTGGGGCTCTATGGAAGAAAGAACACTTAAAAATCCGAATCAATGAATCTTGGAATAAATGTGTTTTTCTTAAAAAAAAAAAAAAATCATACTGTAAATGGAATAAAACACGTTTCTGTGTCACATTTTGGGCCAAGTTTATAACCTCTATTCCAATGCTTACTTTCCTCAATTCAACTCAATAAATACATGTTGAATCCTATGAAAGATTTATCATTTATTAGAGACATGAATATAGAAATACATGAAGAATTCCAGCCCAGAATAATTATCTCTTCTTAAAACCCTCATCTCACTCTGGATATCAGTATTATCACTTACCATAATGTTTTAAAATTAGCTTCTATGTGTTAATGTACCTGACAAAACTGTAAACTCTTATTCATCTTTGTATCGCTATAACCAGAGCTATACCAGTGTCAATAAATAAGTGTACTAAATAAATGAATAAAACATGAAAAAGTAAAAAATACCTAATAATTTATTAAAGCAGAAAACCATTCAAAACAGTAAATGGCAATCTAAAAATGAAATGATGACCTCATTTACACTTTTGTTTTCAGGATAATTAAAAAAATTTAACTTCGATGTGCAAAGAACACCTCAGGGCCATTTACATATCATTTTAGATTGTGTGGCTAAAGGCTTAGCCAGATAGGGATTCCCACATATCAGAACAAAGAAATACAGACAAGAATATTCCCGAGAATGGTGAGTCTTTTCAATAAACGGTGCTGGAAAACCTGGATGTCTATATGCAGAAAAATAAACTAGACCCCTATCTCTCACCATACTCAAAAAATCAACTCAAAATGAATTAAAGACTTAAAATCTAAGAACCAAAACTTTAAGCTACTAGAAGAAAGCACAGGGGAAAACGCTTCGGACATTGTTCTGGGAAAATATTTCATGAAATGGAACTCAAAAGTACAGGCAACAAAACCAAAAATAGACAAATGGAATTATATTAAACTAAAAATCTTCTACACAAAATCAAGAGTTAAGAGACAACCTGCAAGATGGGAGAAAATGCTTGAATTTCTTCGGACAAGGGATTAATATCCAAGGAACTTAAAAGCAATAAAATGAAAAATCCAATTAAAAAAATAGGCAAAAGAGCTGAATCAACATCTTTCAAAAGACACAGTTGGGTGCAGTGACACACACCTGTAATCCCAGCTACTCATGAGGCTGAGGGGGGAAATGGCTTGCACCCAGGAGTTTGAGACCAGTCTGGGCATCATAGCAAGACCCTGTACTTAAAAAAAAAAAAAAAAAAAAAAAGACACACAAATAGCCCACAGTACATGAAAAAACTCTAAATGTCACTAATCATCAGGGAAATGCAAATGAAAACAACAATGAAATAATCACCTCACCCTAATTATTAGAATGGTTATTATCAAAAACAAGGTTATAATTAATAATACCAAATGCTAGCAATGAGGAGGAGAAAGGGAATGTCTTACACACTTTTGATTGAAATGTAAATTAGTATAACCATTATAGAAAACAATAAAAAGCTAAAAATAGAATTACCATATGATCCAGCAATCCCACTACTGGGTCCACATACAAAGGAAAACAGTATGCCAAAGATATATCTGTGCTCACATGTTTATTGCAGCAATACTCACAATAGCCAAGACATGAAATAACTGAAGTGTCCATCAACAGACGAATGGATATCAAGAATGTGGTATATATTCACAATGAAATACTATTTCACCATAAAAAAGAAGGGAATTCTGTCATTTGTGGCAACATAAATGAGCTTAAATGACATTATGTTAAGAGAAATAAGCCATGCACAGAAAGATAAATATCACATGTTCTCACTGATACATGAAAGGTAAAAAAGTTGGCCAGGCGCGGAGGCTCACGCCTGTAATCCCAGCACTTTGGGAGGCCAAGGCAGACAAATCACCTGAGGTCGGGAGTTTGAGACCAGCCTGACCAACATGGAGAAATCCCATCTTTACTAAAAATACAAAATTAGCTGGTCATGGTGGCGCATGCCTGTAATCCCAGCTACTTGGGAGGCTGAGGCAGCAGAATCGCTTGAACCCGGGAGGCGGAGGTTGCGGTGAGCCGAGATCGTGCCATTGCACTCCAGCCTGGGCAACAAGAGCGAAACTCCGTCTCCAAAACAACAACAACAAAAAGTTGATCTCATAATAGTAGAGAATAGAATAGTAGTTACTAGAGGTGAGGAAAGGGAAGTGGAGAGAAAGGTATAGCCAAAGAGTTGTACAGAGATAAACAGCTAGATAGGAGAAATAATTTCTCGGGTTCCATAGCATTATGTAGTGACTATAATAGTAACAATTTATTGTATATTTCCAAATAGCTAGGAGTGGATTTTGAATATTCCCAACACAAAGAAATCATAAATGTTTAAGGTAACGAATATGCTAAATACCCTGATATGATCATTATACATTGTATACATGTGTCAAAATAACACACTGTGCCCCATAAATATGTACAATTATTATGTGTCTATTAAAAATGATAATAAAAAACAAAAAAAAACCTGGCAGTGAGTTTCATTGTTTTTATTTTCTACTCATATCCCCTGTATTGAACTCAAAGGGAGTATGAATCCAGGAACTGCTTACCAAGTATAGACAAAAAGAATTAAAAGAGAAGTCTTTTCCTTCTTTGACAAACAATGGGGACCTCATAGTGGCAGAGGGTTGGGGTAGAAAAATTTGACAATGAGTAGAACAAGATAATTTTTTGGGGAATGAGGGAACTGTTCTGAATCAATTTTAGTTATGGTTATAAGACTACACATTTGACAAAACATAAAGAACTGAAAAAAGAAAACAAAACAGATTCTGTTTTATGTAATTTCAACAAAAAATTTAATATTATAAAAACTAACAAATATAATGTATACTGGTTACACAGTATTCTACAGTAAGGGAATATTAACACTTAAAAAACAATTTGCCTACTATTTTTCCCTTTCTTCTCAAGCATTCAAACATACAAGTTTAAGAGAGACACAAAAGAGGAAAACGTACAAGTTTAAGAGAGACACAAAAGGGGAAAAGCCAAAAAACAGCAGCAGAAAGCAATAAGAATTAACGAGAGAGGTGACCTCCTGTCTACAATATGGGGGAGAAAACATTTTATGTCCAGCCAAGTTACCTGCCAGCTAAAACAAAACCAACAAAAAGTCTTCAGAAGAGTCACAATAATTTATTATATAAAATATCCACTTTTAAAAAAATTATTAGACATGCAAAAAAAACCCCAAAAGAATGACACCTAGTAAGTAAAAAGCAGAGTCAATATAAATGCCTTCCAATGTGGTACAGTTACTGAATTTAGACTATAAATACTTCAACAAAGCTATTATAAAGATGTTGACCGGGTGTGGTGGCTTATGCTTGTAATCGCAGCACTTTGGGAGGCTGAGTCGGGCAGATCCCTCAGGTCAGGTGTTCGAGGCCAGCCTGGCCAATATGGTGAAACCTTGTCTCTCCTAAAAATACAAAAAATTAGCTGGGCGTGGTGGCACACCTGTAATCTCAGCTACTCAAGAGACTGAGACAGGAAATCGCTTGAACCCAGGAGTTGGAGATTGTAGTGAGCCGAGATCATGCCTCTGCACTCCAACCTGGACGACAGAGTGAGACTCCGTCTCAAAAAAAAGAAAAAAAAAAAAAGATGTTCAAAGAATTACAGGAAAAAACTGATCTTAATAGGCAAATGGATAAAGAACTACAAAGAGATTTAAATGAAGAGTACAAAACACACACATATAATTTGTCATGACTACATGATATTCCATGGTAAAAAAGGACTGACTTTTTGAAAATAACTGTTCTCTATAATTCTTCCTTTCCTCTAAAGAACTCACTCTGACATATGCCTGGATATTGTAGAGGTAAACAAAACAAGGTTTTCCTCTAGTTAGGTATATCATTCAATGTAATATTTAGTGGAATCTGGACAGGATGAATCTCACAAATAGGCATCAAAACTATCATTCAAATATTAAATGGGTAAGGAGAGGTAAGCATCTACTGTAATAAGAGGATTTCTCATTATAAGTAAAGGCACATACTATTTCTTGTTTATACTAGTGTAGCAGTCATCAAATAATGTTCCACCTTCTGTATTTAAAATAGAATATAAAAGTATGTATCCATAATTCAAAAGGGGTTTATAACCCACTAAGATACATTTTCAAACAGATACTGCAATAGAAAATACTATGGGCTACACTGAAAAAAACACTAGCACTGACTAAATAGCATATTAGACATGGCAGAAAAAATAGTAAACTTAAAGGTAAAGCCATAGGAATTACAAAAGTCAAATGAAACAAAACAACAGAAGAAAAAGGGGCAGAAAAAGTTTGGAGAAACACTAAAGGCCCTGAAAGTCTTGTGAAACAATGTCAAATGGTAAAACTTATGGCTGAAAACTTCCACGAATTGATACCTAGTGTTCAACAAGAAAATAACGATTTCAAAAATCACTCCTAGAGATAGCAAACTACCCAAAGCCAAAGATAAGGAAAAAATCTTGAGAGCAGCCAGAAAAAAACTACATGTTACATACAGGGGAACAAATGAATAACAGTTAACTTGTAACAGAAACTAATGTAGGTCAGAAAATATTAGAATGACATATTCAAAGAGCCGAAAGGAAAAGATTATCAACATAGAATTCCATGTAGGGAAGAACATACTTAAAGAATAAAGATAAAGATATGTTCAGATGAAAGAAATGTAAGAGACTTCATCATTAGCACAGCTGTACTACAAAAAAAGTTACAAGGCTTCTTCAGGATGAAGGAAAAGACTGAAATGGCAACTAAAATCTGTGAGAAGGAATAATGAGCATGGGAAATGGTAGATATGTGGGTAAATACAAAATAGGCCATATGCTTCCTTTTTTATCTACATTCCTTAAAAGCATTTGACTTTAAAGGAAAAGTTATAATGTTGTCATATAAAAATAGTAACATACATAGATTTAACATGAATAACAATACCACTAAAGAGTAAATATCTGGTGTCCTTATAAGACAGGAGGACATGTAAAGAAGGGGAGAAGGCTATAGAAAGATAGAGAAAAAGAACAGTCAACCTAATATTCTACATTCAGTACTTTAAAACTGTTGTGCCATTTCATTCTAGCCTGCCTGTTTTCTGATAAGAATTCCACTATCTTTCAAATCATCCTTCCCCTATGATAATAAACCTGTCAGGCTTTAAGATTTGTATTATGTTATTATTGTTCAGCAGTTTGAACATGGATTTCTTTTAATTTGTTCTAAACGGAGTTGGCTCATCTTGAATCTGTAGATTTATGTATTTCATTAAACTTTTGAATGTTTTCAGCTGTTACATAATTATAGAAGAAATCCATTAACAATAGCAACAAAGAAGATGAAATAGTTAAAAAAACAAATTAACAAGAAATGTGTGAAGCTAAAAGAAGAAAAATATTAAAACACAACTGAAAAACACAAAAGTAGTCTCAAACAAATGTAGATATCCCCATTCATAGAATGATTCAAGATTTTAAAGATGCAGCTCTCCTTAACTTATAAAATCATGTAATCTCAATAAACATACCAATGAAAATTTTTATTAGCTAGAGAAGTTGCTACTAATATTCATGAGGAACAATAAATATACATGAATAGCTGGGAACATACTGAAAAAACAAGAAAAACTACAAGGAAGTTTAGCCCTAATAATCATTAAAATATACTATAAAACCTGTAATAAATGCCATACTAGGATATACATATACTAAACCCTTAGTATAGCATATACAACGAGAAACAGATACCTATATATATAAATTAAGTATATTATAAAGAAGGCATTTCAAATCACTAAGGAAAAGATAAATTTTAAAATACATGATGATGGTAAAACTGAGTTCCCATTTGAAAAATGATAAAATTAGATCCATATCTCACAAAATAACAGGAATAAACAACAACTATATGAATGAGCTAAATGTAAAAATAAAATCTTACAAGGATTAGAAGGCTACATGAGTGAATTCCTCTTTAAACATGGTACAGGCATACCTCAGTGATACCGTAAGTTCAGTTACAGACCACTGCAATAAAGTGAGTCAGACAAATTTTTTTTAAATTTTTTAACTTTTAATTTTTGTGGGTACAGAGTAGGTGTACAGTCAAATTATGAGGTTACTCAGTGCATATAAAAGCTATGTTTACACTATACTATAGTCTATTGATTGTCAAATGGCATGTCTAAAAAATAATGTACATACCTTAATTTAAAAATACTTTATTGTTACAAAATGCTAACAACCATCTCAGCCTTCAGTGAGTCATAATCTTTCTGCTGTGATGATGATGGCTGCTGACTGCCCAGGGGAACAAGGGTTTGTTTTAGATTATGCAAATTTTCGATATCATGATTGTGTTATAAGTTAATATTATAATATTCCATTGTTGAGGCTCAGCAAATTATGCATTAAACTAGTAAATTTTGTTATATATAAAGTATACTTCAATAATGCTAACAAAAAAGAATTCCAGCTGTAAATAAAATGTTTTTAAAGTGTTGGGTTACCATCCTAATAAAAGAATGCAGAGAAGAGAAACCAAATCAAATTATATATGCTCTTACCAGATTAATTAACTGAGTGTGTACCACATCTTCTACCAAAACTGCTGTTTCATGAAGAGGCCTTCTAGCATCACCTAAAGAATACCTGCAAAATAATTTTAAACACACCAATATTAAGGACTATAAAACTAAGAAAGGCAAAAAGTGAAACATTTATTACATGAATCAGTTTAGTAAGGAGAACATAAATTGTTTGCCCAAATGTCTGAATGGGTGTGCAATTTTCTTGGCCAGGTGTGGTGGCTCACGCCTTTAATCTCAGCACTTTGGGAGGCCGGAGCGGGAGGATCACTTGAGCCCAAGAGTTCATGACCAGCCTGCATAACATGGTGAAACTCCGCCTCTACAATAAATACAAAAATTAGCCGGAAGCAGTGGCATGTGCCTATAGTCCCAGCTACTTGGGAGGCTGAGGTGGGGGGATGGCTTGAGCCCAGGAGGCAGAAGTTGCAGTGAGCCAAGATCATGCCACCATACTCCATCATGGGCAATGGAGTCAGACCCTGTTTTAAAAAAAGACAAAAGAAAATAAAAGAAAGTCTTTCCCACACAAGTTGCAACTTCAAAAGAAAAGTGCAGTGTTATCTATGCTATTTCTGGATTCGTACAGTTTTTATTTTTTTTATTTTTTTTGAGACAGAGTCTCACCCTGTTGCCCAGGCTGTAGTGCAGTGGCACAATCTCGGCTCACTGCAACCTCCGCCTCCCGGGTTCAAGCAATTCTCCTACCACGACCTCTAGAGTAGCTGGGACTACAGGCGCGTGCCACCACACCTGGCTAATTTTTTATTTTTAGTAGATACAGGGTTTCACCATGTTAGCCAGGCTGGTCTCGAACTCCTGACCTCAGGTGATCCACCCACCTTGGCCTCCCAAAGTCCTGGGATTACAGGCATGAGTCACCACGCCCGCCTTGTACAGTATTTTTTAAAGGGAATTTATTGTTTCAAAATGCAAAATACTAACAACTACTTCACAATACTGGCAACCAGCAAATCATGTAACCACATCCCAATTACCAATGTAAGAGCCACATAGAAAGGTATAAAAGTGTATGATGTAATCAGCTTTGAAAGTTGGTAAGAAAAATTTATGTAAATACCATTGAATATGACTTGGAATTATATAGAAGCAGATTTTCAAGAATGGATTAAAAAGGCTGGCCTTAGAATTCCTCTTCTTAAAACTTAAAAGTAGACTGGATGTGCAAAGAATACCTTCTTGGTAAAGAACACTTGAAAATGCACAATAATATATTTAAAGTATGCTTTAACCAGCAGTAGGGAAGACAAAACCAAAGTCAGACAAGATGAAAAAAAGAGTTCTATAATAGAGTACTGAACCTTCAAAATTTATTCTGAAGGCATCTACCTAATCACAGTAACCTACAGTCTATACCGAACTAGTAGAGAATTCAAGGTATAGAAAAGAATGTGGGGACAAGAAAGGTAGGAAATCAGTTTGAGAATCCAATATAACATTGAGAAACCTAACATAAAATGATGGTGACACCCTCAATGTGTGAACTAGGAAAATACCCATTCCAGAGAATGCACTTTGCCTACCTCACCCGAAGCTTTGAGTAGGAGAGGAAAAAAATCTTCCCTAAGAATTGTTAACTATAAATTCACTTCCATGGTGCTAGAGTATCTGCTACCCATATAGCCTTAAAAAAAGGCCAAGCATTAATTTAAAGTGATTTATATTGATAGTGCCCACAGGTACCTTGTAGAAACAAATGCAATTCATTTGTTGAAGAACATATTTCGAACAAATAACTGAAAGAATTCCCATGGATGACATATCAAGGACCATAAATTCAAAATCAAAATTCACTACATGTACCAGGAATCAAGTCATCAAGAATGAGAGTGAGCAGGACCAACAAACTGCAGAATCAGACCTACAGCCTATACATACCTGAATAAATAAGTATCTATTAACTATAGTAATTTATGTTTTTTTAAAAGAGAAATGAGAAGTATATGTAGGACAACAAAAATCTTACCAAATGCTTAGTCATTTTTGAAAAAGTACTAAACAGAAATAGAAATGAAAAATATAATAGCATTTAAAAAGTTAATGGAGAAAAGTTATCAATCTGATAAAGACCATATATGAAAAACTCACAGCTACTATCCAACTTAATGGTGAAACACTAAAAACTTTTCCCCTAAGATAAGCATTAACACAATGTCCAATTTTGTCACTTCTATTCAACACAATACTGTAAATTCCAGGCAAAGCAATTAGGTAAGAAAAAGAAATAGGCCAGGCACAGTGGCTCATACCCGTAATCCTAGCACTACTTTGGGAGGCCAAGGCTGGCGGATTGCATGAGCTCAGGAGTTTGAGACCAGCCTGGGCAACACAGTGAAACCCTGTTTCTACTAAAATACAAAAGAAATTAGCCAGGCATGGCGGCATGCACCTGTAGTCAAGGACTATAATTGTCATGATTAGTTCCTCCTTGTTTTGATATGTGTGTGTATGTGTGCATGCATGTGCATGTATCTTATATGTATGTGTGTATCTCCTTTATAAAATCCTATTGCTTGTATTTTTTCTAGAGAACTTTGACTAACATAGCCAGGAAAGGAATAGCTCAATATTGAATAAATATATTAATATAACTACATTAATTTAGAAAATGAAAAAAGAAAACCTACATAATCATTTCAACAGATGTAAGAAAACCACTCATCAAAATCCAGCAACCACTCATGACATAAACCTTTAGTAAGCTAGCACCACAAGGAACTTTCTCTAATTTGATAAAGTGAATCTGCTAAGACCCTACAGGAAACCACATACACAGAAGCATTTAAACCCTTTAAGAACCAGATCAATATAAGGATAACTATTATCACCACTTTCAGTCAATATAATATTTAAGATTATAGTCAGAACAATAAAACAAGAAAAAACTAAAACTATAAAAGTATTGGAAAAGAGAAAACTACACGGTCCTTATATGCAGATAATATGAGTATCTACATAGAAAACCAAAAATCAAGAAACAAATTATTTGAATTAATAAGTTAGCAAGTTTCTGGCTATAAGATCAATCTACAAAAAATCATCATTAACATAAAGGTAGAAGATGCAATTAAAAGTAAATATAAATTGGTTCTAAACATTATATGAGATGGTAAAGAGACAGGAATAGTCAAAACACTTTTGAAGTATAAGATGGGAGAGTATTTTCTACAGGACTTAATATAAAGCTACAATCATTAAGATAGTATGTTATTTGGTGCAAACAACCAATAGAACAAAAAGAGAATAAAAAGTCCACAATAAAAAGCAAACTCCACAAAGGCAAAAATCTTTTGTTGTATTCACTGATATATGCATTATTTAATTCGTTGGAATACTTGAATAAGGTTTTCCTTCCATTATTCTAAGTTACTTCGAATGTCACTGTTAAAAAAAAAGTGCAAAGTTATCAACGCTAAATAATTGGCTTAACCATAAAACTACAAATTCAATTGACATCTATAGTAAAAAAATTAAAAATACTTCTTGTATCAATAAAAGACACAAATTGCCTAAGCTTTTATGAGAAAGTTAGATCTTTGTACTAAAAACAGTTTTCATGAGCATACACTGTAAAGTAAGTACCTAAATTAGTTACAATGACTGGTATCAGGTGTATCATTTGATGAGTATATTATTTTAATTTTCAGGGTTATTGGTACTTCAGTTTTTCTCCAACAGCTTTTATAAATAACTTCTGTCATTTTTCCCCTCATACACAGAAAACTAGATATTGTTCTAGTCGTTTTTGGAAAACAGAAATGAAAACTGCTGTACCTGGCCACAGTCACTTCCTTTTTTGCTCTGCAATGTATGTACTACTTGTAAGCCACTTAAAGACAGACAAGTAATTGATACTTATACAACTATTTTGATTTTTTTCCCCTTTGAAGACCTATCTCCCAGTGCTCTGATGTCTTGACTGACTTATCCTGGGTCTTGTCCTAATCAATAGATTCTGATACCCTATTCATTTACATACTGTCTTGATGCCTGTGACAATACCAGTACTGCCTGACTACCGTCCACTAAAGGTCTTTCAGGAAACCTTCTGAAAAGGCTGCCCCTCTCCTGGTCTCCTGCAGCAGTCTCGTTGCTATAACACACAACCCTCCATTTTAGGAAGGACTGTGACTCTGACAGCCATGATTATAACTAAGGCCAGAGCAACTTAATAATGATTGGGGCGGAGCAACTTACACCCTATCTTCTCATGCAAACAGTATTGGCTTTATTCAATCCTGGGATGAAATGTCTCACTTCAACCTAGGGCAACTGACTCTGCAATCCGCTTGACAGGTGCACAGTGAAAGTATGAAACAAACAAGGGCATTCATGAGATGAAGTTAAACTTTTTATTCTGTATACTTATACTGGGATCCAGGAGGATGAATGCTGAACAAAACCATTGGATACTGTTTTAAAAAGACAGCAGAATTTATGACTAACACTTTTAACATTTTTGCGCTATGTATAGCCCAATACTATCTAAAATTAGGGGAGATCCTTCAAATAGACATCTATTAAAATATACAATAAACGTCTAGTCATTTTGCTCTCAAAAAACAACAGAACCCCTTTTCAGTGCTTTCTAACATCAGCTTTTTTTAAAAAAAAAAAAGGAGAAAGATTTCTTAAAAATGAAGGAGCTTTACTATCTTATGTTGAATCCACATGTGACATCTTTGGTTAGTAATCTATGCCAAGATGCTACCCAAATATAGCAATACTCTTTTAATCTCTCTATAAATTCTAAAGCATCATTTCATTTGCTAAAATCTTTTGCTAACCTCTGGACCCTATGTAAATGCATGTATTTGATGATGTATCAATTGACCTATTCTCCTCACATCTACATATCCCCAGCTGTGAAAGGCAGTCAACTCCAAACTCTTTTAATGGCATAAACTGTAAGGGGAAAATAAATACTTTTTGAGAAAGTATATGTAATGTGTGTACATATGTGTGTGTGTATTTCTTTTCAAGTTATACAAATTAATATAATAACAAAACAGCATAAAATAAACACAAAAGAGAAATATCAAAGGAGGTAAGAAATAAAACAAACGATACTTTTTTTTTTTTTTTTTGAGACAGAGTCTCACTCTGTCACCCAGGCTGGAGTGCAGTGGCGCGACCTTCGCTCACTGCAACCTCCACCTCCCGGCTTCAAGCAACTGTCCTGCCTCAGCCTCCTGAGTAGCTGGGATTACAGGCGCCCGCCACCATGCCCAGCTAGTTTTTGTATTTTTAGTAGAGACAGGGTTTCACCATGTTGGCCAGGCTGGTCTCGAACTCCTGACCTCGTGATCTGCCCACCTCAGCCTCCCAAAGTGCTATGATTATAGGCTTGATCCACTGCCCCCAGCCAAAATGGTATTTTTAAAAATATATTTTATTTATTGGTGTTAGAAAATCTTTTTGCATTCACTAACATATATACATTATTGTTATCAGCATGACCAATCACCCTAGTTTGCCTGGGATTGAGGGGTTTTCCAAAGTGTTCCCTACCAAGTAAATCAGTCTAATTAGTACTAGAAGGTCATGGCATACATTCCCCCCTCCCTCCCCCCCGCAAAAAAAACAAGCAAGAAAACAGTTTCATTTGTTAAGGGAATGAATTAACAATAAATAAAACTTGTATTTTTCCTTTCAAACAATTACCCTTATTATTTCAGTTCTAAAGTCTCAAAACAGAAACAAATAGCATATGGGAAATTTATTCCTTCATCTGAAGATAATGCTTTTCTATTCTCTGATGTTGAGGATGAAGTTCATGAGAGTCAGTGGATGAGTAGGTGCCCAGCTGACATCTCACTGTAGTCACGGCCCCCCCACCCCCACTCAGGGAAAGAAATAGCACCAAACTAAATGACCAGCCAGAGATTTGAGCTCAGAAAAATGGATGAAGTTCACAGGGCTTGTATCCAACTAAAAAGATTACAATAATGCTGCTAGAAGTCATACTATATTCTGGCCGTCAGCTACAAAGTAGGAAAAGTCAGTAACCATGAAAATATCCTGGAAGTTAGAGGATCTGGTTCTAGTTCCCACTATGCTATTAAGAAGTACTGCAATGAGCAGGTAACTTCTCCTGGCACCTCAGTTTCTCAGCAGTAAAAGGAGGGGACTAGATTAGATAATTTTAAAGAAACCTTTTCAGAAACTTTATTTTGAATCAAATATATCTGATTCAACTATAATTCGTAAATCTTAAAGACTGTCTTCAAGAATGGGGCAACACTGTTATGAGAAAATCAAATTGCACAGAGTAAACTGTGGGAAAATCATGAAATTAAGAAAAAGAAAAACATGTTAAAAATGAGTAACAGAACGAAATAAATAAATAAAAATAATTAGAGGAAGGAAAAGAAAGCTATAGTTTATCCCTGGCCTTATATGTGGAAATAATTTCTAAGAAACATGTCATTGTTCCTTAAATTTAAAAAAAAAGGTGGGGGGTGTTGAACATATTATCACGGAATTTTACATTATTCTTTTTCAATTAAAAGAATTTAACAGGCCTAACTTTGAGTCTAAAATACTTGTTTTTAAATTTCCAAGCCCTGATTAAGAATAGAGGGGAAGGACTGATTAAGTTTCTAACAGAGGGGAAGGACTGATTAAGTTTCTAACAGAGGAGAAGGGCTGATTTAGAGGGGAAGTGCTGATTAAGTTTCTAACAGAGGGGAAGGGCTGATTAAGTTTTAATTAAAGAGATTCTGAAAAAGAAGCAAAGGGGATAAGTTTGGTGATGATCTGTGGACAGCCTGCTGGGCCAGTCACCAAGCATACAAGGCCTACAAGCAGATCTACTCATAAAGCATCTAGAAACCAAACATAAAGAAAGGATAAAGAGATGTTTCTTTACTGCCATGTGTACATCTTCTTGGATGCTGAGTTGCTTTCAATACTTCCCACTGGCTACAGACTCTAATGTGGTTAAATCATTCTGGATACTCTGGTTAAGTAATTGCTGTGGTCTTGGGAGCTAGTCACTTTTTTTTTTTTTTTTAATTAGTTCTGGTTTTTTTGGATGTTTTCCTACCCCAGGTAATTGACATTACTTTAGAATGGACACTGTGTGACTATTGCTTGGTTTAAGAAGGCTCTGGGTAACTTGCTGTCCCCAAAAGAAAGGTTTTTTTTTTTTCCGTTCAAAGCATTTTTTGATTACACTTTTATAGACTAGGTATTACTATAATACCCAAGAATTTCTCCTAAATGGAATTAGAGTGAATACCAGGCTACAGCCCTACCATACACTTTAGTCAGCTAAACTAGTACTAGATGATGTATGTGAACACAGACATCATACTGTTGTTTATGTCATTCTTACCCAATATCTGTTGACACTGATTTGTCCACTATCCAAAGTGGGGAATAAAAGTGCAGAAGTTTGGCCGTGATCAGTCATTTAATGCAATTGGAAAGTTATAAACACTACAAATTAGCCTTGCTCTTCAAATTTTAACAGCTCTTTCACAAATCTATGATTTTACCCACCTGTTTTCAAAGGAAGAAATGAATTTTATTAACAATAGCTCTAAGAAACCCCAAGTGATAGGTAAATCAAAATATCAAATAAGGCTGGGCGTGGTGGCTCAACCCCAGCACTTTGGGAGGCCAAGGTGGGTAGATCACCTGAGGTCAGGAGTTCCAGACCAGACTGGCCAACATGGTGAAACCCCATCTCTACTAAAAATACAAAATTAGCTAGGCATGGCATGGTGGCGCATGCCTGTAACCCCAGCTACTTGGGAGGTTGAGGCAGGAGAGTCGCCTGAGCCTGGGAGGCAGAGGTTGCGGTGAGCCGAGATTGAGCCATTGCACTCCAGCCTGGGCGACAGAGCAAGACTCCATCAAAAAAAAAAAAAAAAAAAATCAAATAAACATCTAAGACAACAGATTTCCTAGCAGTGATGATTTTTCTCATTGCTTGCTTGATTTCTCAACAACCATTTCCCCATTCCCCTTCTGATAGTAAACATTCATATAATTTAACTGAACTTTGAGAAAACTTTTAGAATTTTACAAAACACCATGAAATAAATATAAATATGTGAAGATATATAAAAAGCAAAATTAAATTATTTATGATATAAAATAAATAATGCTGACGTAAAAAAATACAAATATACTAATATACATATATGTTTAAAATAAAAGATAAAACAGTATAAAATTTTGAAAAGGTAAACACATAATACCTACAAGTATTAATCACTCAATCAACAAATATTGACTGATTGCCTGGTATGTGCCAGGCACTGTTCTGGTTCCTTGGAACATATCAGTGAACAAAACAGACAAAAAAATGAGTCAAGTTTACATTCCGATGAGGAAAGGACAATAAACAATATAACTAATGAATTACTAAATAAATAATTTGTATGTTAGAAAGATGAGAGAAAAAAACTTAGAACAGAATCACGAAATGTATGCAATGGGCAGTGTGAAATATTAAAACATGTATTTATTAAGATCTGATGTGTGAAAGAAATAGCTTTAAATAGAAAAAATATATAAATCAGAAAATTTTTTTAAAAATCAAGATTTACATAAGAAAGCTCATCCATAAATATTTATAAGAAAGCTCATAAAATAAAACTCATCTACAGTGCATGAAAATGTGCATCTGAGAAAGTTTACAAAACTAGCAGAATATCTTTATGAATTTCTTCTAACAATTTACAGGGCATTTTTCCTCATATATCCTACATTTCTAAGAAGCAAATATTCCCATCTTCAAACTCTTAATAGATAGCAGCATAAAGCAAATTATTATAAACCGTCCCTATTTGAGGAACAGGAAAGATCTATATAGCAATCATTGAATGTTAGGTCAAAAAATAATCTAAAAGATTACGTAGTCCTTTCATTCAGTTTTAAACAGATGAAAAATGAAAGCCCAAGAGGTTAAATAGCCATCTCAAGGTCATAAGTCCAGTTAGAAGTAAAACTAGGACTTTTACCTCATCCAGAACTCATTGTACAACAACACGCTAAATGAACATCTATTAAGCCTCCAAAACATTTAATGGACTTTACTATCTTAGATTGACTGAAATTTAGTCAAAAAACTAACTTCCTATAACATTGAAAACAGATACACTGTAATCACAATAACACCTCATAGTCATAGAGGACTTTTCTCACCTATCATTTAAAGCAAACTGTAAAGCATGCAAACAGGAAAGTTTCTCCCATGTTACATAAACATGGAATCAGAGAGAGTCAAGAAAGTTAAGACATTTACCCGGGGAGTCAGCAACAGTAAGCGTCAAGATTACTTGGTATGAGATAGTCACAGAGATAAGAGAATTTTGTACCATCAGATCTTTAGAAAATTATCAATATAAAATGGATATAAATATGGCATACTGCAACAACATTTTTCAGATTGACAGTGTCCAGAAGAAAAAGTATTTTGTAGTTAAATGAGCTTGGAAAATGACATATTTTATTCTTTTCTAGATTTGCAATACATGTTACCATACTAAACACTCTGAGAGGTTCTGAAGAAAAGAAACTCTTGATTTTAAACGTATTTACTGTGTATATAATCCTTTTCTAAGCCCATGGAGTTACATAGCATTGAAAAAAAATTAGGAAACACTGATTTAAACAAACAAACAAAACAACTTCCAAAATAACTTAAGGACTTTAGTGAGAGGATTCCAAATAAAATGCAACCTAAGATTTTAGAACTCCAAAGCCAAGTTCTTCAGTTTCTAACAATGACATGATGATGGTGGTGATAATGGCAAACATTGTGAGCTTTTTAAAAATGCACTTACATTCAACGAATATTTATTGAATACTGGGTCTACATCATGTCAGGCACTGAATATTATACTAGCTGAGAATTTTCAAAGTTCCCACAAACTTAAAGACATGACTGATTTTCTGTAGCCATGGCAATAAACAGCCACCAGAACCAGGAACAGACTCATTCCAGTAAACACACCCTTGAGTGCCAACCAATCAACAACATTCTCATCTCTCTTATTATAGATTATGTCAACTCCAGAACACGACCAATCCCTGAACTCAATGCTTCCTGAAAACCCAAAAGATCAGCAGCCTTCCTTGCTAACAAACTGTGCTTGACCGGCATGTATCTCTCCTTTATGATAAGAAGAAATAAATCAAGTTTTCTGTTTTTATTTCAGATACTGAATGACAGGCTCGTTATTTTTCACAGCATTTAAGGAAGTTTGCCCTCACAAACTAGTCAGCCTAGCCTCCCTTCCTCTCCTTCTTCTCACATTTTATTTTGAAAGATTCCTAACCAACAGAAAAGCTGAAATAACAGTGGAATGAACACCTGTAAATCCTTCACCTAGAATCACCAATTATTAACATTTTAGCACAACTGCGCACGTTTCTCTCTCTCTCTTAAAAATTATACACACATACACTTGTATCTTTATCTGTATTAATTTTTCTTTAAACAGTAAGCATGTATTAAGTGCCAGGTATATTTATATATGTCATTTAAACCTCTTAAAGACCCTGCAACACACTATCACTATGCCTGTCCCTCTGCATCTTGGAGAGATATTTGTTCCAGTAAGTGAAATTCTGGGTTTTTAAAAATTAATTTCCATATGCTGGGATTAGCTTTGTCCCCTGGAACTGATGAAATGACAAATCCTTTTACATGACAGGTCTTCAAAAGTATGAAGAAAGCTTACTTTAAAGGTCTGGTTTTGTTTTGTTTTTGCTAAACAGCATCTGTTTTAAACAGCTTTATTGAGATATCATTTACATACCATAAAATCCAGTTGTTTAAAAGTGTACAATTCAATAACTTTTAGTAAATTTACAGGGTTTTACCATCATCACCACAATCTAGTTTCAGAACATTTCCATCATTCCAAAACAATGTCTCATGCCCATTTACAGTCAGTCCTATTTCCCATCCTCAGCCAAAGACAACCACTAATCTACTTGAAGAAACCATACATCCTCTCTAGGCTTCTTCAAGGTTAAAGACTTCCTATTTCTTATCATTTTGGTCTCAATGTAAATAGCATATCTTTGAAAAGACTTTCCAAAACTACTACCACTTTCAATTCTCACTTGAATCAGAGTAGTTTGGCATTTATTTGATTTATATATTTAGGTCCTACCCAAGTTTTCATTAAAAAAAAAGTTATAAAACTTTTAGTAAACAAACCAAAGGAATGCAAACCTCTAAGTGTTGAACAAGTCATAGGCCAATTATAAAGCCCTGTAGCAAAGAGATATCCTTGAAACAACAGATCCAATAATCAACACTTTGTGGGCTGGGAAGAGTTGATCCAGGTTTCAAGCTGTCTTTGTCTGAAATATAACTCTCCATCTCATCCAGCAGAACATCAGCACAGATGACATCAAACATCTCATTTAAATTTTTACTCTAAAACTGTGACATTACCTTAATGAAAGTAAAATTATTTTATACTGATATCAATTGTGAGCTCATGCAAGTTCCTAATAATTATAGATTCCAAAATTTTTCTTGAGATTGATGTCAAGTTCATCAGGGTATAATGACTAGAATCTCCTTCACCCAACATTTTAAAAAATGAAGCAAACTCATGCCAAAATTACAACTTTATTACACTTCCTTACAAAGCATTCTAGAAAAACCACCTGGCAATAATTAATACCACTATTGTACATAATCTAATTTGTCACCAAAAACAATGGCTTTGCTCTCAGAATATGAATAAAACTATAAATTAAAAAATATGGAAATAATGCAACTTGAAAATTAATTGTGTAAATATCTGTGACTGCCAGTAGGAGAACACATAATATATTCCAGTTGTACTACATAATATATTCCATTAGTTTCTTCACAAAGGGCTTTCGCTTGAATCAGGAAGTATATAAGACAATTGTCTTATAGTGATCAGTCACTTTTAAGAACATTAAGAAAAAGTTCATCTCTAGTCTCAACAATACTGTATTCCTCAAATAAAAATGAAATTTAGTATGCCCAGAAGAAATGTGTTTTCAGTTTGTTCTCTAGAACATGGATAAAAAAGTGATGACATGAGAAAGACATTAAGACACAACTCTACTGAGAATAAACACATAGCATACATTAAATGATCTTTTACTTTAGTATAAAGTCTATAACTTAAAAATTTGGCATGCATAAATAATAACCCTTTATAGATATTTATATACACTATTAACACTGAAACTCATATTAACCTTTAAATTTTACTATGAAAAGATCAGTATGTACTTGTAGAAGCTTACAATGAACATATAAAGTCTTTAAGTATACTGAAAATATTAGTGAAAACATACATCTCTGTATCTACCTACTACCACCCTGTACACGATTAAGATCTTCATAGGTACAAGCTCTGTGGTAGCAAATAAAAATATTAATAGGCAATACCAGGCAATTAATTATTTATAATAGTTAATATCAATAAAACAGTAATTAAGACCCTAGCTTAGAGCCTTCACAGAATCCTACAACTTTCAAACTCCTCTGTTTATTATATAAAAGTCTTTGACATCTGGCTTCTCTCTGGTTCCACCCTTATTTCTAGCCATGCACCATTTGTTCCTAAAATATCAAACTCCCTATGGACAGCTGACCACACAATAGGTTTCAGGTCTTCTCACTTTTGTACATGATATTTTCTCTGTCAAATAAGTCTTTGTTTCTTCTTCCATTCAGCCAATGCCTTCCAAACTTAGTTCGAGGGGTACGACCCTTGGGAAATTTTCCATAATACTCATTTGCTGCTCTAAGGCATATTGCACTGATTGCCCTAACTCACCTTTCACCTCATATTATATTCATTCCCATTG
This sequence comes from Homo sapiens, assembly GCF_000001405.40. Lineage (NCBI taxonomy): Eukaryota > Metazoa > Chordata > Mammalia > Primates > Hominidae > Homo > Homo sapiens. Next base: position 45,118,792 of record NC_000006.12, read on the forward strand.
CCAAGTAACTTTAAGTAGCCCTGCACTATAACCCTGAGCTCAACCCTGTTATGTTCTTTGGCCAATGGGATATTATTAGCAGCAGAGGCTAAGAAGTGCTTAAGCATTTCAACTTGCACTCTTGCACTCTGCCACTGCCATGAAAGTATGACAAGGCTAATCTGCTGGAAAATTAGAGATACATGAAGCAGAGCTCAGTCACCCCAGTTATCGTAGTTGAGTTATCATAGATCAGCTGGCAGTCAGCTGACCCTCAGATAGATAACAGAGCACAGCTGAGATTGGTGGGGTTGTCTAATCTACTGTCATAGACATATAATCATAAATGCTGAGGTTTCACAATGTTTTGTTATGCAGCATTATTGTGGCAATAAATAACAAATCCCACTCCTAGATGCTTCCATAGCACTCTTCACAACCTCCTCATAGTATAGTTACATAGTTGTATAGTTATGTAGTTACATAGTCATACTTTTACATGAACTAATTTGTCTCTATTCTCCCCTATGCATTTAGAGGAAAATAATCACCTGTTATTTAAATTTGTATTCTGAGCACCTAAGAAGATGCCAGTTGTATGTGGGCACTCAATGTATGTCTAGGGAAGAGAAGGTATGAGGACGGATTCACCTCCCAACTGATTCCACTATTATCTCAGACCACAAGGAGCCTTCCCTATGTTGTGAAAGTTCAGTGGGCACACAAACTAGATACTGTTAGAGCAGATTAAAACCTTAAGCATATAGGCTTTAATATATGCTTATTATATGTATATAGCTGCCTGTTGGATGAGCACAGATGGCCACAAATTCATGTGATTTGTGGGCATAATGTTAACAGGAAAGAGTCAATAATTGCAGCACTTTGGACCAAATAAAGAGTGGAATTAGGTTATGCAGTAAAAGATGCCAGGGCAGAGAATCAAAGGGTGTATTCCTAGAAAACTTAAGATTTTCACATGTAGAAGGAAAAATGTTTGAAATTTCATTAAACTTGGTATGCATTTGGGGCCAAGTAAAAAATATTCAAAAAGGAACCAGATTAATGATTTATTTTTTTTAAAGGCAGCAAATACTTTTAAAAAAGAAAAGGAAAAAAATGAGTCTGAAAATATATACAATTTAGAATCTGTTTAATAATGATAGTTATGACAAAATGACAATGAGTCGATTATATCCATAATACATACTGAGGATTTACTGTTTGCTAGACACCACTGAACTGATTCAAATGTCAAAATGACTCTAAAAGGTAAGTACTATTACTATTGCTACTTCAAGACTTGAAGAGGTTAACTAAATTACCCAAGTAACATAGTTAATAAGTGGCAGAAACGAGATTCCAAATCCCATCAGTCTGACTGCAAACTAAAAAAAACAAAAAACAAACAAACAAAAACCCTCTAACTGCTCTATAATATTGTCTTTCATAGAAACTGAAGAGACTTCGGAAGTAATTTATTTCAGTTTCCACCACAATAAAGAAAATTTTAAAAGTGAAAAGACTATATAGGCTAGGCATGGTGGCTTCTGTTTATAATCCCAGGATTTTGGGAGGTCGAGGAGGGAGGGTCACTTGAGCACAAGAGTTTAAATCCAGTCTGGGTAACAGTGTGAGACCTTGTCTAAAAAAAAAAAAAAAAAAAAAAAAGACTATATAAGCATATATCCAAGTTAGGGTGACTGGAGTAGGATGATGATGATACTTTGATAAAATTGGAAATAACTTTTTGACAACCAGTGTGGTACATGCAGAAATGCAAACCAATATATAAATGCCACAATAGTTGAATTCAGAAGATTAAGAGGAAAACTAAAGAAGTTGAACAACAAATGATGTCTATATCAATAACCAAAAAAAGGAATCTATTAAAAGGCTGAACAAATTCTTCCAAGTCAAAAGCAAATAACTGGCTTCCTCTATTCATGCAAATAGCTGTTTGCCACATGAAATTTATCTTGCTTTTAGGTTTCAAGAATTAAGGGTAAATATTAAAGCTACAAACCTGGGGAACTCCATAGTGTCTTTATGCATAAATCACATAGAAATTTCTCAGGTTCTGAGATAAAGTTCAGGAATAATTGTACTAAACAATGCAAAAATTTCCCAAGGCTAAAATTTGAACAATATTAGAACAATAATATTAGAACAATAATAAGTATAGGTTAACTTCATCATACTATTAATAGATTATAATACAAATATTACACAGAGATTAAAATTGATACTTTGGAACAGGTTGATTATCTAGGTATGTAATTATTATTATATTCAGAGGGAAATATTCCTTGCAGCATAAAGACACCAATACCATTCATATACTGTTTCCAGAGAGTTTGATAAACAGAAAAATTCCACAAAAATCTTGGCCCAGAAACTCTCCACAACCAGGATCTCTGATTTCCATAACCTCTAGATCCTATAGGAGTAAAAATTAGAGCTTCTCTTATGGTGAACAAATTTCCTATCTCAAAGCCCTTGGAGAACGTCCCATTTTTTTCTAGAGAGAGAATGCTTGGGCAACTCTGAGAGGAAAGAAGGAAATTGTGATGCTCTGTATGTCCTGGGGACCAGAGGTTTCCAGGATTCAAACAAATGTAAACAATTTGACTTCCTGAGTATTGACAAGGAATTAGAATATTAGATTACTAAATCTGGGTTTTCTCAGTTGCAGGAGTTTCCCTTTCCCCCACATTCCAAAGATTTCAAAACCCTATGAAATTATGTGGGGGGGGGGGTGGATTATCTAAGTATATCTTTCACAGTTGAATGACTCAAAACAATATTTAACATTTTAAATTAACCTGTTCATAATGCAGTATTCAATTCTTCACTAAACTCACATAACTCATTTCTACTTATAGATTTTTTTTGGGTTTTTTTGTTTTTGTTTTTGTTTTTGAGACGAAGATTCGCTCTTGTTGCCTAGGCTGGAGTGCGGTGGCGTGATCTTGGCTCACTGCAATCTCCGCCTCCCAGCTTCAAACAATTCTCCTGCCTCAGTCTCCTGAGTAGCTGGGATTACAGGCACCCGCCACCACGCCCAGCTAATTTTTGTGTTTTTTTAGTAGAGACGGGGTTTCACCATGTTGGCCAGGCTGGTCTCAAACTCCTGACCTCATGATCCACCCGCCTCAGCCTCCCAAAGTGCTGGGATTACAGGCGTGAGCCACCGCACCTAGCCAGATGTGTTCTTTAAAACTCTGAGTAAAGAAAGTTAAGTGAAAGATATCTTTCATTTAAAAACAAAAAAAAAAGAAAAATTAAAAATGAACAAATTGTATTTTCTACATATATTAACTTTAAAAAAGAAAATGCAAAATTAATCTATTTACCATAACTATATTTTCACACAGGTGTCACCTTTATTACGCTGTAAAATGCTAGAGCCTACAATAATCTATTCCAGATATGGGGTTGGGGTTGGGAGCAAGGGTTTGGCAAGGGAGTGGAAAAGTAACAAGGCTGTCTGTAGCACTTTTAGTACATGTTATAAGAATAATCCATAACAAAAAAATATTGATTCAATTCAGTATAACTACTTAAATTTTCTTAAAATCACACATACTTTATATAGTTAAAACCCTAATAAAACCCTAATACACTTTCTCAAAAACTTAGGAATAATTTCACAGTACCTAAGGATTAAGAAAAAAGGTTTTTAAATAAAATATTGATGTTTAAAATGTCTCTTTAAGCTATTTGCTAGCAAAACAAAACAACAGACTTTGAAAGAATACTAAACCCACCATCATTAATTTTATTTTGGTAACTAACTTTATTCCAATGACTTCATAACAAAGTTAACCTTTAAGGATAAATCACCATATACACCATTAAAACACCAAAAATAGAAGACAGAATTGCTCCTACTTCCATGACATTTTGTTTCTAATTAAAAAAAAATTTTGGGAGTATTGTTGAAGAGAATTCATATTAGAAGATATATCAAATTAAACGAGAGGCACTTCATGTCTATTTTCTAAGTTTATATCATACTGAAAACTGTGCTTGCAGACCCCATGAACAAGAATAATCATCCACAAATTGCTAGACTCTTTCATTTTGGATTGTACACTGAAAATGAAAGGTGGACATTTAGAGTCTACATGTTCTATTTTCAGCTTCATCATTAACATGTTTGAGAACCTGGGGTAAATTTCTTTACAACAGGTAAATATTCTAATACCCTATTACTTAATGGAAGCTAGGTCCAAAAGCTGACACTTAAGTGGAATACTAAATAAATATAGTCCTATTTTCTTTATTGGGTTTTCTGATTTAAAATTCTACCACATATATACATAACCATCTTAATTTACATATAAACTTAATTCACTTTAACAATATTCACTGAACATCAACCAAGATGAAAGTCCTCTCCTGAAGGCTGAGGAATGCAAATGTAAACACCAAGTCCTTGTGAACTCCAAAATTAGTACATACCACACTGGTAAATGAGATACAAATAAGCACACATGAAACTCTCTTTCAGTCAGTCTAATTTAATTAAAATTCTACTATGACAATACAAAAATCATCAATTTTTTTAAGTGTGAATTTTAAATTGTATCATTTATTTCTTTTTTTTTTTTTTCCCCAGATAGGGTCTCGCTTTGTCACCCAGACTGGAGTGCAGTGGTGTGATCATGGCTCACTGAAGCCTCCACCCTCTGGTCTCAAGTGATCCTCCCACCTAGGCCTCCCATAGTGCTGGGATTATAGCTGTGAGCCACTGCACTCAGCCACTAAATTGTACAATTTTTTTAAAGTACAATTAAAAATTTGTACTATTACAAAAAATAAAACAAAGATTATATATATATAATCTATTTTAACCTGTGTGGTGAAGTGTAACAGGTTGGGGAAAAAACTATAGGTGTAATCCAAGGGTCAGCAAATATTTTCTGGAAAAGGTCAGACAGTAAATATCTTCAACTTTGTGGGCTATAAGGTCTCTTTTGCACAATGGCCATCACAATACCAAAGTCACCAATGACAGTCCATAGATGAATGAATGTGTATAGCTATGCTGCACTAAAACTTATGAATGGTCACTGCAATCTGAATTCTGCATCTCACATAATTTCATCTCATGTAAGTGCTACATCTCATGAAATACTACTCATCTTTTGTTTTTTTCCCCAACCATTTAAAAATGTAAAAAATATTCGTGGTTACACAGGCTGCTGAACAAAAACAGGGAGCTATGTTGATTTCGCCTTCAAGCCACAGTTTGCCAATCCCTGGTATAATCAAACACCAGTATCAAATAATATGAATTAAGAGTGACTAGTAGCTGACCATAATTGCCACTGTTCAGAGAGGAGAGAAAGGAAAATATATTCAAATAATCAAGAACTTCTTTTAAAGAAGTATTTGAGTAAGAGCTTGAGTTAATGTAAGGATGATGATAACTCATTTACTGTAGCTATTATATTATTTAGTAACTGCAAGAAAACTGTTCCACTGTTAAAAAAAAACACTAATTTGTCAAAATATATGGAAAACAAGCAATCAACTTCATGTTCTTATTTAAATTGTAAAAGTACAGTTGAAAAATTGTACTGGCTGAGCACAGTGGGCTCAGGCCTGTAATCCCAGCACTTTGGGAGGCCGAGGCAGGTGAATTACTTGAGGTCAGGCGTTCAAGACCAGCCTGGCCAATATGGTGAAACCCCCCCCTCTACTAAAAATACAAAAATTAGCTGGGCATGGTGGTGCATGCCTGTAATCCCAGCTGCTTGGAAGGCTGAGGCAGGAGAATCCCTTGAACCCGGGACGCGGAGGTTGCAGCAAGCTGAGATTGCAGCACTGCACTCCAGGCTAACAGAGACTCCATCTCAAAAAAAAAAAAAGAAAGAAAAATTATACTATTTTTAAACTGTACAGCTTACCAATTTTTAAAATATTGAATATTCATGTTTAAAATAATAATAAAAAAACTGTTATAGGTTGAATTGTGTCCTTCCAAAAACAATGTATAAAAATCCTAACCCCTAGTACCTCAGAATATGACCTTATTTAGAAATAGGGTCTTTACAGAGATAATGAAGTTAAAACAAGGTCATTAGGGTAGGCTCTAGACGAATAGGACTGGTATCCTTACAAAAAGTGGAAATTTGCACAGAGACAGACACACACAGAGGGAAGGCAATATGAAGACGGAGGAAGAAGACAGTAATGTGACTGGAGTGATGAATCTAAAAGCCACGAAACACCAAGGATTGCTGGCAAACACGTAAAGCTAGGAGAGACAAGGAAGGATTCTCCTCTAGAGCCTTCAGAGAACAAGACACTTGATTGTGGATGTCTAACAACCTCAACTATGGGCAGTAAGTTTCTGTTGCTTTAAGTCACCCAGTTTTTGGTACTTTGTTATAGAAGCCCTAGGAAACAAATACACAAACTTATCAACGTATTAGGCGTGTTTTTCACTTTGTAATTCTATCACTATAGTAATCAAATAACATGTCATCATTTAATGAACAAAATTTTAAGTCCAAAATAAACCATGAATTATAATTGTCATGTTAAAATTAAATTGACTTTCTATGCATGATATGACTACCAAACATTTTTTTTCTACAATACTTTGAACCAAATTTTGTTTGGTTTTTGGGTTGTATTACTATTGATGGCAAATGCACACTACTGTGGAATGGGGAAAATTAAGTGGTAGAAATGCATGGGGTCTTAAATCTTCCTCTCATAGAGTATGGATGCAAAAGATTCTTGCATTCTAAAGTACCATTTTCAATAGTGCAACGTATCCACTTTCTTGCATCTCTTCCTGTTTTGATTTGTGATTTCAGGGATAGTTATGATGATAATATGGTACATGGGTCTCCACTTACACTCTTGCTCTGTGTCCTACAAATTTTGAGGTGGGCTTCAGCAAAACCTGGATCAGATTATGGCTTCAGTAAACTCTCATTTCTAGCAGTGATTTATTTTTCAGGTAACTGAACACAATAGTATGTGTTTGAAATACTGCATTAAAAATATAAAGAACTATTGACCTTAAACTATTACCAAAAAAAAAAAAATCTTTCTGGTTTTAAAAGACTTCCAATAAAAGAAAGTCCAAAATTGTATTACTCTTTACACTAAAAGTTTCCATTTTCAGTTATTCGTATCCCATCCATTTTTTTTCAGAAGTTTTGAAAAAGGAGATTCACATAGAATGTTGCCCAAATTTTCTGAGACCCAAACATGATCTCTTAAAATATGAACCAACAAGCTTCTGCATGTCTCTGAACTCAGATTTGTGCATTTCAATGTCACCTGGATGCCCAAATTTAAATTTCAGGGCTGCCTATCAAGCACAGTAACTGAAAACTTGCACTAAACTCAGAAGTGTGCAAAGAAGTAAATACCCATTGGAAAAAAACCTCTGATTTACAGGGTGGCCCATTTAAAACAGTTCCCATTTAATAATGTGGCTGTGTACAGGGCCTCTTTTAAATGGGCCACCCTGTATGAAGCTTAAGTCCAAGATAAAAAATGTCCTCCCTTGAGAATTTTTAAAACCCAAAAACATTGTAGGTTTAGTGGTTATTTTTAAGGTTTTAGATGGTTTCTTTGGACTCCTTTAGAACTGAAAAAAGATGGATACACATTTAAAAAATGAAATGTTACAACCACACATCTGTAATGAGAACCAGTGCCAGTGGATATTTTTAAAACAAATTAAAACGGTCAATTTTTTTTTAACTTAGGCAAACAGCTGCTATACACACAGTGCACAGTAACTACTTTTCAGCAAAAGTTCAGAAGGAATTTCCTAATGAAGATTTACAGAATGTTCTGGGATTGATAATTAAGGGTTCCCCCAAAAGATATGAAGAACAGTGTTAGCGATGTAAGGATTAAGGACACTGACTATGCCTATCCTCTAAGGGAGAAGCCTGGAATTTAGAATAAAAGATACACACTAAAAACCACTGAGGGAAATCAGGATAAAATAGGTACTGTATATCTTTTCTGTACTGACTTCAAAGTGTTTTGAAGGATTCCATAATAATTTCTAAAGTTTAAATATCTCTGCAATTTAGTTCATTTTTTAAAAAGGGGGAAGAGACGATGCGAGGAGAAAAAATGGAAAAAGCTTGCCTAAAAAAAATTATATTGATACAAGAGATCATGAGTTCTGAAAATTCTGACTTCCACTGTGTACCTGACTTGAATAATGCTGTTTTCCCTCCAAAACCAATATTATTAATAATAAAAAATAACTATGGGCTGGGCACAGTGGCTGACGCCTGTAATCCCAGCACTTTGTGAGGCCAAGACGGGCAGATCATGAGGTCAGGAGTTCGAGACCAGCCTGACCAACATGGTGAAACCCCGTCTCCACTAAAAACACAAAAATTAGCTGGGTGCAGTGGCGTGTGTCTGTAATCCTAGCTACTCAGGAGGCTGAGGCAGGAGGGTTGCTTGAACCTGGGAGGTGGAGGTTGCAGTGAGCTGAGATCGTGCCACCAAACTCCAGCCTAGGAGACTGAGTGAGAATCCGTCTCAAAATAAATAAATAATAATAAAAATAACAACTATGAACACTGTCCTCATACACTGTCATCATACAGTGACATCATACACTTCCCAGGCACCTGACATCATTAAATCATTTAAACTCCACAACAATACTATGAGGTAGGTATTATTACCTCTTCTTCACAGATAAGAAAAATGATGCACTAAGAGATTAAATAATTTGTCTAAGGTCACAAATATGGTAAAATTACCTTTCATGATTCAAACAAAGACTCTAAATCCAGAGTTAGCATTCTCAAACACACACTCATAATTTATGTTTTTTTCTTCATGTAGCTAGGAGTTTATCTGTTTTTTGATGTTCTCAGAGACTTCTATTTTCAAAGACTTTTCTCTATTGTCTGTTTTCTATCTCGCTGATTTCTACTCTTATGTTTACTATTTCCTTTTATATTTACTTTGGATTCAATTTTCACTTTTTTTATCTTCTTAAGGTAGAGGAAATACTGATTTTCAACATTTTTCTTTCTGTTCTAACATAAGCATTTAGAGCTATAAATTTCTCTGTAGGCACAGCTTTAGATTCATCTAATAAATTCTGATAGGTTGTGTTTACTATCATAGGGTGAATTTTTAAAATTTCTCCTATTTTGTCAGCTTTGCTTCCTGTATTTTGAAGCTCTCTTATTAGGTGCACAAATATTTAGGACTACTGTTTCTTCTTGACAGACTTTTATCATTATACCCCTCTTTATTACCGATAATGCTTGTTATTCTGACGCTTACTTTGTCTGATATTAATATAGCCCTATCAGCTTGCCCAATCCTTATGACTGGGCTTTGCAATGTACAAGAGAATCAAGGCAGTTTTCTTAATGAAAAAGTCACAAAAATAGCTCACAAGCTAAAGTAAACTGTCTTAGAAAATATAATTATCAGCCAGGTTCAGTGGCTCACGCCTGTAATCCCAGCACTTTGGGAGGCAGAGGCAGGCAGATCACGAGGTCAGGAGATTGAGACCATCCTGGCCAACATGGTGAAACCCCGTCTCTACTAAAATACAAAAAACTAGCCAGGCATGGTGGCATGTGCCTGTAGTCTCAGCTACTCAGGAGGCTGAGGCAGGGGAATCGCTTGAACCCAGGAGGTGCAGGTTGCAGTGAGCCGAGATTGCACCACTGCGCTCCAGCCTGGCAACAGAGCAAGACTCTGTCTCAAAAAAAAAAAAAAAAAAAAAAAAAAAAAAATATATATATATATATATATATATACACACACACACACACACACACACACATACACATATATATATATACACACATACACACACATATATATACACACACAATTATCCACAAGAGTCCAGTCTATAGAATGAAAAGTATTTTTTTCTATTAAAAGATTCTTTTTTTTTTTGAGACAGAGTCTCCTTCTGTCACCCAGACTGGAGTGCAGTGGCACAATCTTGGCTCACTGCAACCTCTACCTCCTGGGTTCAAACGATTCTCCTGTCTCAGCCTCCTGAATGGCTGGGATTACACGCATGTGCCACCACACCTGACTAATTTTTGTATTTTGAGTAGAGACAGCGTTTCACCATGTTGGCCAGGCTGGTCTCAAACTCCTGACCTCAAGTGATCCGCCTGCCTCGGCCTCCCAAAGTGCTGGGATTACAGGCATGGGCCACCACGCCTGGCCTCTATTAAAAGATTCTTTGTCACATTAACTATGTATTCATGACAAATTTATTATTAACTTGTCCAATAAGCAAAAGCTTTTAAAAAAGAAAAAGATGAATATTTCCCATACATAAATAACTTGAATGTGGTTTACTGTAGTTGCTGTATCAAGTTTTATAGAGCAGAAAACCATTAATAGGGCTCATCTGAATTGCCCTCTACTCAGACTCTGACCTGCTATTACACTGTACAAAGCCTTTCAAATTCATTCTCTTTGCATTGTTATGAAAAGTGCTATGTAAAAGACAACTATTTACTCACTACTGATGTATGTTCTACACAGGATCTTTGGTGGATAAAGAAGTTTTCATTTGGCAGTCTGGACAATGGTGCCCATTAATGAAAAAGGCTTAGTATAGGATATTGAAGATCTGGAATCAAGTCCTCGCACAACAAATTTCTAGTTATGTGGTCTCACACTTCAAATTCTTGGTTTCCTTGTGTAGATATTTAAGCAATAATTTCATGTTTATGATAAGGAGAATTAGACTGCTAAAGATCATTTATTGAAAGTTCACCGTCCTAGATACCCGTATGAACTAAATGTCAGTCATTTGATTACTACCTTCACAACTTGTGCTGTTTTTTTGTACTAGTTAGGCAGCTACTGATTTTTGTACGTCAATATTTATTACTATTTTAATAAATTTAAAAATAAACTTTTTATCATGAAAATCTACCACAGAAATCAATATCGTATGCCAGAAAGCGAAGACGTATACTACTTATGGATTTTTTTAAAAAAATCCATCAATCAATCAATTGGATATTCTCTTTTGGGGGAATTTTGGGGGAATTCTGAATGAAGAACTTAGGAAAGGATGGAGAGGAAGACTGCAGGAGAAAAATAAGGAGAAATAAATAGAAATGAGTCAAAACACACACAAAAAAGGCAGTGTTAAGACTGGCGTAATGATTGGTAAAAGCCACTTGCGAACTGGCACAAGACAGCTAAGTGATCAAAATATTCTAAAGATTATTTTTAACACTTTCACTGAGATATAAACATACCATAAAATTCACCCATTTAAAGTGTACAGTTTAGTAGGTTTCTGGACATTCACAGAGTTGTGAAACCATCACATTAATCTAATTTTGAAATATTTCATCAACCCAAAAAGAAACTCTCTACCCATTAGCAGTTATTCCCCATTCTCACCCCCTCTCTCAGCATCTTCCCTGCCTCAGGCAACTTTCTGTCTCTATGAATTTGCATATTCTGGATATTTAATAATCGAATTATACAATATGTGGCCTTTGTATCTTTTCTCTTTTACTTAACATAATGTTTTTACGGGTCATCCATGTTGTAACATGTTATCACTACATCATCCCTTTTTATGTCTAAATGATATTCCACTGTATGAATATACCACATTTTACTTATAATAAAATTCAGCTGATGGACCTTTGGATTGTTTTCCTCTTTTCAGTTACTATGAGCAATGCTGCTATGAACATTTGTATACGAGTTTATTCCATCCTTTTTGAGGCCTAGCTCTGTAGCTGCTGGGATGGTAGGTCCATGTGTCTGTACTTCCTACTGCATTTTTACTGTAAATTCTCATCGTATGAAGTAATTTACGGGTATCCTTTATCTTTTGAACTTTAAAGAGTCACACTGGTGAAAGCATACCTTACAGGAAAAAGACAAAGGTAAAAAAAAAAAACAAAAAAAAAAACCACTTTTTTTTTTTTTTTTTTTTTTCAGATGGAGTTTTACTCTTGTTGCCCAGGCTGGAGGGCAATGGCATGATCTCGGCTCACCGCAACCTCCGCCTTCCAGGTTCAAGCAATTCTCCTGCCTCAGCCTCCCAAGTAGCTGGGATTACAGGCATGTGCCACCACGCCCAGCTAATTTTGTATTTTTAGTAGAGACGGGGTTTCTGCATGTTGGTCAGGCTGGTCTCGAACTCCCGACCTCAGGTGATTTGCCAGCCTCGGTCTCCCAAAGTGCTGGGACTACAGGTGTGAGCCACCACGCCCAGCCAAGAACACTTTTAAGTAGCAAGCAGGAGCAGAGGACTAGGACTCAAGGATCTGAGGTATCTTCTCTCAGTGCTGTTGCTATCCTCTCCATGATCCTGATTAGATCACTCGCCCTGCAAGGAGCTCAGTTTCCTCAGATGTAAATATGGAATACTGGGCTAAATTATAGGTTGCTTTATGTTCTAAAGTATTATAATTTAAACCTGTAGTCTCATCCTTCCAGATACGGCAAAATAAGGCAGCAGAAAGAAAAATCTCATGAGATTTTTTCCTCAGTGTTCTGCCTAATTCATTCATGCATGATTCACAATCACAGTCTACAACAAATTAAAAATCTATTCACTCTCAATTTACACATCTTATCCAGGATACGGCATAACTTAATATTTATTTCCAAGCCTATATGTAACCACTGTACCTCAAGTATAGATGGGTTTCTAACATACATATTAACAGCTTATGTTTATTTCCAAGCCTATATGTAACCACTGTACCTCAAGTATAGATGGGTTTCTAACATACATATTAACAGCTTATGTGCCAGTTTTGATAAAGGAAGCCATTAAAGTCAAACTGTTACCATATAAGCCAAAGCCCTCTACCTTGCATCACATATAAAAAGATATTCAGATTGACGGAATATGTATAAATATGAAAAAAGAAGAAAATCTAACATGTTAACTCTTTACTTTTAACTACTGTAATATAGCTAAGCATCAAAAATAAATATTATTCCCAAAAAGCAACATGAATAGAGAAAAACAGGTGAATTATAGCTTAAGTATTATTTCATTGTAACTACAGTCCCCAAATATTCAGGCTGGTTGGAACAATGGTGGGTTTACAATAGCCCCCCTTCATTCATGGGAAATACGTTTTGAGATCCCCCACACTCCATGGATGCCTGAAACTGGGTAGTACGGAATCCTAAACATACATTGTTTTTCCTATAAATACCCATAATAAAGTTCAATTTATAAATTGAGCACAGTAAGATATTAACAACTAATAATATAATAGAACAATGATAACAATATTCAGAACAGTACATTATTTAAGAATTATTTCTGGAATTTTCTATTTAATATTTTTGGACCATAGTTGACAGCAGGTAACTGAAACTGCAGAAAGCTAAACTGCAAATAAGAGGAGGACTACTATATTTTCCTGCTCCTGGCACTGGCAATTCCAGAATTCCTATAAAATTAAATCTCTGCATTCTCTGGAAGCTGTCCAAACTGAGAGAGAGGAAGTGTTGCTTTGTCAGACTGTTTGTAAACTTCCCATCAACCCTGGTACATAAAATAAGCTAACTTCTAAGACCTTTTACAGTTCCCTATTCCCTTTAAAATTTGCTACAAAAGATTACTTTAAACCTACTTTTAAACATTTTCCCTACTGCTTGATAACCTATTTCAACAGCCGTCCAACAAAATAAATGACAGGATAGAAGAGCAAATCTCTTTCTGCTATCTTACATTTATCTTTGACCACTAGACCTTTCCTGAAACCAACACATTTTAAATATTAAATTCTCTTACAGTGTGTTATATTTTGATTGCAATTTTAGTGATATTTCTACAAAAGACTTGGCAGATTATCATGTCACTATTTTTTATTGATGATTCTTCCAATATGCCAGTGCACTATGCTTTAGAAGAACCCAATGGAAAATAACCCATCTGAATTTATTAAATTTAGGAAGTGATTCTATTCTTAAAAAAATTTCCTTACTTTGCAAAATGATTCAACACTTGTTGTCCAGATTAGTGTTGGTCTAGAAATAGAACACTAACAATAACAGAAATGATCTAATTCAATCCTCATACAAGTACATAAAATGGTATTATTATCACCCCCTTTACAAAAAAGGAAACTAAGACAGAAGTCACATGATTTATCCAACAGGACAAAAGTAGTAAGTGTTTGAATCTAGGTCTGTCTGAGTACACATCCTGAACTCTTACCAGTACAAATATTGCCTCCCATGAATAGACACTACTTGAATAATAAAGGGATAAAGAAGGAGAGTAATCTTTTAAGAGTAAACATACACACAGACAAAATTAACAGTTATGACCTTGACATGCTTATTTCTTGCCCAATTCTACTTAATTGCTTAGACTGCTTAGCACACAAATTGAGAAGGCAGTATCAAAGTTCTAAACTTGTGGGAAAAAACTGACTCCACACAAAGTTCTTTTCTTCTTGCTAATACTCCATATTACACGTTCAGATCTCCAACCAACATACTTAGTTTCCTGCAGTCTTATCTTCAAAAAGTGTTTTGAAATATGAATTAATGAAGCTCTTTCCTTCCCCAGCAGAACTGTTCTTTCAAATACAGAATATTCTGATGTGGGAGAGAATAGCCAAGCAAAACTGAACTTCTGATTATCTTTTACATTATAATCATTGTAGAACTGAAAATAAACCATACCAGATACTTAGTTAAAATGCTAAGATTGATCCAGTCCTGCTTGATGGGAGGACAACAAATCTTCTGCCATTTCCCCAAAAATATAAAGCTTGACAAAACTGAAAAACAACAACAACTATTTCAGCACTCAGAAAACCAACCATAGGCTTACAAAAATCTGAGATGTGATTATTCATGGAACTACTGAATTTTGGGTAAAACAGCATGACTCTGTGGATATTTTTTCCGGAACATCTGACAACCCTCCAGATCTATTTATATGGTAGTTCAATCAGGAGAAAGCAGGAGGTGATAACTAAAAATTCTGCTCATGTTGCTAAAGAGGAGAAAACTTGATTTAGTATTGTCAGTTAAAGTGGCAATATTAGTGGCACATGAACAGGGAGTGCCAGCACCTCCACTCGCCTGAAGTAGTGAGCCTTCTTTTGGCAAGGAACAGATTAGCAGTGCATTAAACTGAAGATTTGGATCCCTGCAAAATTCTTTTGTTGAATTACAAACCCCCAATGTGATGTTATTAAGAGGTGGGGCCTTTGGGAGGTAATCTCATTAATAAAGTTTGTTCCTGTCTTTGTTGACTTCATGTTACTATAAAAGAATATCTGAGAATGAGTAATTTATAAAGAACAGAGATTTATTTCTTATGGTTTTGGAGGTTGGGAAGCCCAAGGTCAAGTGATTGGCATCTGGTAAGGGTTTTCTTGCTGCATCATCCTATGGCAAAAGGTGAAAGGGCAAGAGAGTGCAAGGAAACAAGCGAGGGCCGAACTCACTATTATAACACTCTCATGGTAACTAATCCACTCCAATAACAACATTAATCCATTCAGGGAGACAAAGCCCTCATGAACTGATCACCTCTTATTAGGCTCAACCTCGCAATACTGTTGCATTGGGAAAGAAGTCTCTAACACATGAACTTTTAGGGATACATTCAAATCACAGCATTCTGCCACTAGCCTTCAAAATTCAAGTCCTTCTCACAATGCAAAACACATTCATTCCATCCCAATAGCCCCAAAGTCTTAACTCATTCCAGCAGCAACTCAAAAGTCCAAAGCCTCATCTCAGTCAGATATGGGTGAGACTCAAGGCATGATACATACTGAGGCAAATTCCTCTCCAGCTGTGAGCCTATGAAAACAACAAGTACTGCAAAAATAAAATGAGGGTGAAGGCATAGGACAGACATTCTCATTTCCAAAGAGAGAGACAGGAAAGAAGAAAGCAGTAAGTAGTCTCACATAGGTCTAAAACCCAACAAGGAAAACAACATTAAGTCTTAGTTCTGCCAGGATGGATTTGCATGCTGGTAGCTCGACAGCTCTGGATTCTCAAAGGCAGCCCCACTAAGAAGCCTTCACTAGGAATTACCCTATGGGGACTATCATCAGTGGCCTTGTTCCCATGGCTCCACTACGCACTGCCTTGGTGGAGACTCTCTGTGGCAGCTCTACCCCTACAGCAGGTTTTTTCTGGGACCTCCAGGGTGTCCACAACATCCACTGCAATCGGGTTAAGGATCACCTTGGCCCCAAATGTCTTGCATTCTGTGCACCTGCAGAATTAGCAAAGTTTACAGGTTGTACCTTCAGGAGTAGTGGCATAATCAGCACTTGAGCCTGCTTGAGCCATGGCTGAGGTGGACAAGAAACAATAAACCACAAACAGATGAGTAGAGTGCCAAGGCAGCACAGGGCAGTGAAGGCTGAAGTCTCCCTGGCACCTTGCTAGAAACTTTGCCCTCAGAGTCTTAGCTTGCCTCAAAGGTCTCTAAAAGGCCTTTGGGGTCATCTTCCCATTGTTTTAACGAATAGTAACTGGCTCCCTTCTATATACAGTAATCTCTTTAGCAAACAGTTGCTTGGACACACCCTTGGTTTACTCTCCTAAAGATGCCTTTTTCACTCTTTACATGGCCTGGCTGCAAATTTTCCAGATTTTTAGGTTCTATTTCTCTTTCAATTATAAATTAAATTATTTATCTCTTCTCACATCTTACTATATGTGGTTAAAAGGCCATGTAGCACCTTCAATATTTTGCATAGAAATTTATTCCACCACATACCTAGTTCATCACTCTTAAATTCCGCCTCTTATGAAGCCCTAGGGCATGGACACAACTTAGCTAAGTCCTTTGCTAATTTATAACAAGGATAGTCTTTACACATACTAAAACCATAGCAGTGCCCTTATAAAAGAAACCACAGTTTTTGCCCATTCCACCATGTGAGGTTATACCAAACTTTGGCAGTCTGTAATCCAAGAGGGCCTTCACCAGAAACAACAATGCTGGCACCCTGATCTCATACTTCTAACTTCCGGAACTATGAGAAATTGCATTCTGTTATTAAAAAGCCATCCAGTCCATGATACTTTGATATAATGGCCTGAACTCAGACAGGCAGACAAGCCAGGGATTTAGCAGGTAATTCTGGGAGGTGATTCATCCATATGGGGATCAATGTGATCGCTAATTATCCTGCATTGACTGAGGTTGATAATATACACAGCAGAGATCAAAGTGAGTTATCAGCCACCCATACTTCCTTAGCCAACAGAAGTGAGCTCACTCACAGAAGACACACCAGTGAATCCAATGGAAAATAAGAGCCATGAAAAACTTAACAGCCTGAACAATGAATGTACCCTCCATGATCAAACACAGATCCATAAGCAGAAAGAAGAAGCATTGATTCAAACTATTTGAGCACAATCTCTGAACTGACTAAACACAAGGCTGTAAGAAACAGAAGAAAAACCCAGAAAGTCAAGCCTAAAATAAAACAATTTAAAAAATAAAACAGAGACATCAGTGGCTACATGTTTGGGTGACAGACTTAGTCTAGACAATTACCAAACACACAAACAAAAATCAACAATAACAATAACCCCAAAGGAAGAAAAAAGTAAAAAACTGTAATTGCTTGCTACAAAATACTATCTTAGTCCAGTGTTCAAACAAAAAATTATAAGATATAACAAACAAGAAAGCAACTTATTGACCTGGGAAAAAGGGAGTCAATCGAAATACAAGTCAAGCAGTCATTATAAATATTTCAAAGAGCTAAAGAAATTCAAGTTTAAAAAAACTAAAGGAAAGTATAACAACAATAATCCACTAAATGGAATATCAACAGAGACATTATTTAAAAAAAAAAACAGAAATTCTGGAGTTGAAAAGTACAGTAACTGAAATGAATAATTCACTAGAGGGGCTCAATAGCAGAACTGAGCTGTCAAAATAATCAGTGAACTTGAACACAGATGTATAGAAAGTATCAATTCTGAAGAGGACAAAATGAGTAAAAAAGAAATGACATACCCTCACAGAACATAAGTGTTCTGGACACACAAGTGTACCAATGTGCATATAACAGAGTCTCAGAAGGAGAAGAAAAAAAGAGGACAAAAATATTTACAGAAATATGGCCAAAAAATTCCAAATGTAATGAAAAACATTAATCTACACATCCAGTCTCAGCAAACTCCAGATAAGATAAATTCAAAGAGACTCATGCCAAAAGAGAGATTATTGACAGAAGCATAAGATAAGTGACTCATTCCATACAAGGGAATTACAACTGGATTAACAGCTGATTTCTCATTTTTTAAAAAGTGAAGACAAGAAGCAATGGAATATGTTAGAAGGGCTAAAAGAAATGTCAACTAAGAATCCTAAATCCAGCAAAACTATTTTTTAAAAATAAAGGAGAAACAAAGACATTCACAGATTAAAAGAAAAGAAAAAGCCTGAGAGAATGTGTTGCTAGAGGACCTACCTTGTAAGAAATACTAAGACAAGTCCTTCATTTTGAAAGGAAATGACATTATGTGATAACTCAAATCAATCAAGCAAAAAGAAAAAAAGAAGAACACTCAAAAAGTTAAATATGGGGGTAAACATAAAAGACTCTCTAAAGACACTTTTTCACATTTCTTCCCTTAGTTTCTTTTAAAGACATATTATAAAAAGCAACAATTACAACAACGTACACCAGGTTTAAATATACCATATGTCTATGTATACCAACATATACCAATGTAATCTATATGACCATAACAGAACAAAAAAGAGAAGGAGAATATATATTAGAATAATATTTCAATATTTTACCACAATTAAGGTATTATTCTGCAGCAGATTATAACAAAGTTGCAAATTTTAATTCCTAGAACCACAAAGAAATAATAATAATGAATGAACAGAGAAATATAAATTGTAAACTAAAAAATATTTATTTAACAGAAAGGCAATAAAGTAGAAACCAAGAAATAAAGATATAAGATTGAGAATAAACAGCAAAAAAGGCAGTTATAAATTCAACCATGACAATAATCATATTACATGCAAATATACTAAACACCCAACTTATAAAGCACCTGCAATAAGTGACAAAATTGACAAATTGAACTTAATTAAAATGAAAAACTTTTTCATTTCAAAAAAACAATATTAAGCTAATGAAAGGACATGCCAAAAAGAGGGAGAAATTACTTGAATATCATATATCTGAAGGACTTGTACTCAGAATATAAAAAGAACACATAAAGCTCAATAAGAAGATAACCCAATTTTTAAATTGTAAGATTTGAATACATGTTTCTCCAAAGAAGATATACAAATGGACAATAAAATAATAAAAAGATGCTCAACAGTATTAGTCATTAAGAACATGCAAATCAAACACACAATGAGATATATTTCATACCAACTAGGATGACAATAATCAAAAAGATAATAAGAAGTGCTAGGGAGGATGTGGAAAAATCAAAATCCTCATATATTGCTACTGAGAATGTAAAATGATATAGCTATTTTGGAGAACAGTTGGACATTTTCTTAATATGTTAAACACGAACTTCTCATATAACCCACTCCTAGCAATTCCACTCCCAGCAATCCATCCAAGAGAACAGAGAACATATGTCCAAAGATTTGAATGCAGATTTTCACAGCTACATTACTCATAAGGCAGAAAAGCAAACAATACTCAAATGTCCATCAACTGGTGAATGCGATAAAAAAAATATGGCACGTCCATACAATGGAATATTTTTTAGCAGCAAAACTCAAGGAAATACTGATACAACATGAATGTCCCTCAAAAACATTATGCAATATAAAAGAGGCCAGATGGAAAATACTCTGTGTGTGTGTGTGTCTGTGTGTGTGTGATTTCATTTATATGAAATGCCCAGAAGAGGCAAATATATGAAGACAGAAAGCCAATCAAGAGGAGTAGTTATAAGAATAGAGACTGGGTACAAATAGGATCAAAAGAATTTTAGGGGGAGGTGAGTAATGTTTTACAACTGAATCACAGTTATGGTTACACAACTCTATAAATTTACTAAAAATCATTCAACACTTATGACAGTGAATTTTACACTATTTAAATTATACCTCAATAAATCTGAAAAAAGCTAAGTAAATGATAATGACAATAATGCACTTGTATTATTACTGCAACACTGACTTCAAGTCTAGTGTCAGAGAATAGCATCAAATCCCCTAGTGACTGACATGTTTGGTGGCACTGCTGTCATCTTAAATTGTAGAAGAAAAAAATTCCTAGCTACCTCAAGCATATAAATGCAGTGCCTATTAAAAGTCTACCCCCCTTTTAAGTCACACTGTCATTAAATCTGCAGCCTATCCTTCCTATGAAGGTCACTATTTTTATATTATTTTCATAAATTAAAATCAAAGCTAAAGTTTTATGACTTAAAAAGATACTCAGGTAAATGATACTTAAAAATATAATTGGCAATAAAAACAAAATGAAAATTTTTCTAATTTCATAAAACAACCTCTATTATATTTTACAAACAATTATTGTGTGCTAAAAATTCTGGTGACGCATCAGGTCACATTCTGTTTAAAAAATATATTTTCTTGACAGAGGTAGGGGAAGATGGCAGAGAGGAGACAGGGCTAACAAGCAGCTCCCACTTGGATAGACAGAACAGCACATGGAGACTCACACCATGAGCTTTTGCTCCAAGAAGCACTGCAGCAACATACCAGAAAAACTGAAAGAATTCACAGATCCTTTGAAACAAATGGCACACTGCTGCAGATTCCACGAGACAGGAGAAAAACTGTGAGTTCCCAAAGTGTGAGAGGGGGAAAACCTGCCTCTGAACACATATCCCCACTGAAGAATGTGAAACTCCAGGTAACAGGAGAAGGATTTACCTTACGTAAAGCTGAAATGTATTAGGGAGCCACACGAAATATAAAAGCAGAAGAAGCAGCAGGAAGAGTCTTGCAGGCACTCCCAGTCTATAACATGAGCACAGGGAAGCCCACCTTCATATATCTCACAGGGGCCCTTAGGGAAAGCAGACAGCGTACTTAGGGAGGCGGTCACAGGGTGAACGAAGCTTCCCACTGAAATTTGTAATAATTTTGACTGGGCACAAATTTACCTCAGCAGAATTCAGGGGGCAAACGGGAACTGCTACAGACACAAGCACAGGAGCTGCTGCCAACAATGTGGGCAGACAGGGAGGGTTGAGGCCTGAAAGCCATGCTTGCTTTATCAGACTGGGGCAAGGTCTGAGCGGGGTACTATGGGAACAAGACCAGCCTCCGGAACTTCATGGGAGCTGGGTGAGGCCTTTCACTACTGATTATCCCCCACTTCACTGGTGAACTATATGATACAGCAGAAGCAGCCCTAATCCCCTATGGAAAATAACCCCACTGGCCTGCAAACCACCCCCTCCCCATCCTCCACAGCGGCCATGGCAAGCTCCAACCAACAAGAGTCCGAGGCCAGACCCACCTAAGCACGCCCCTACCTGATGGTATTTCTTTACCCACACCAGTAGCCAAACACAAGAGATGTAACTTTTGGGAGCTTTATGGCCCCATCACCTGAGAAGCCAGAATACTTAGCATATTTACCTTGGCCAACTTAGAGCAAGCTTAGATCCCCCTACTACTGCTACAGCTGGCACTTTCTTCAAAGCACCACCCAACTCAGGCAATTACATCAACTCATGACAGAATAACCCTGCTCCCAAGAATGAGAAAACAACAGCTAATTTCACCGTCTGCAATACCCTGCCTAACCAAAGGTCCTGAGTCTGTCCACAGAACAACTTCATTGCTAGCATAATCAGCATTCAAAAAAGCCAGTGCACTAAACATATCTATAACCAAGGACTCTCACATAGTGTAAATCACTCCCCTGCCACCTCCAGCACAGCAGGTTGCTGGTACCCATGGCTGGGAGACCTGAAGACGGATAACATCACAGAACTCTCTGCAGACATTCCCCAGCACCAGCCCAGAGCCTGGTAGCCCCACTGGGTGGCTAGACCCAGAAGAGCAGTAACAGTCGCTACAGTCTGACTCTCAGGAAGCCCCATTCCTAGGAAAAAGGGGAGAGCACAACATCAAGGGGTCACCAAGTGGGACAAAAGAATGTGAACAGCACGCCTTGAGTTCCAAGCTTTTCCACTGAAAGAGTCCAGAAAAGTAATTCTGGTAATATGACAAAACAGCATTCTATAAGATCATAATGTTCACCAGCAATGGATCTAAACCAAGAAGAAATCTCTGCATTGCCACATAAAGAATTCAGAAGAGGCCGGGTACAGTGGCTCATGCCTGTAATCCCAGCACTTTAGGAGGCCAAGGCGGGTGGATCACCTGAGGTCAGGAGATTGAGACCAGCCTGGCCAACATGGTAGAACTCCATCTCTACTAAAATTATAAAAATTAGCCAGGTGTTGTGGCACATGCCTGTAATCCCAGCTACTCAGGAGGCTGAGACAGGAGAATCACTTGAACCCGGGAGGCGAAGGTTGCAGTGAGCTGGGTTGTGCCACTGCACTCCAGCCTGGGAGACAGAGCAAGACTCCATCTCAAAAAAAAAAAAAAAAAAAAAAAAAGAAAAGAATTCAGAAGGTTGATTATTAAGCTACTCAAGGAGACACCAAAGAAAGGTGAAAAGCAACTTAAATAAGTTTTTTTTAAAAGTACAGCATATAGATGAAAAATGATCCAGAGAAATAGGTACAGAAAAGAAAAAAAATCATTAAAATGAAGACTTCTGGAAATGAAAGACACACTTAGAGAAACACAAAATCTACTAGAAAGTTTCAAAAATAGACTAGAACAAGTAGAAGAAAGAACTTCAGAGCATGAAGACAAGGCTTTAAATTAACCCAAAAGACAAAGACAAAAAAAATTTTAAGTGCAGACAGCCTCCAAGAAATTTGAGATTATGTAATAACAAGTCGTGAGATTAAAACAGTAATAAAAAATTGCCAACAAAAACAAGTCCAGGAGCAGATGGATTCACAGATGAATTGGTGTTCCTGAGGAAGAAGAGAAATCTAAAGTGTGGAAAACTTATTTGAGGAAAACTTCGCTAGTCTAGCTAGAGATCTAGACATTCAAATACAATAAACTCAAAGAACACATGGGAAATTCATCACAAAAAGATCATTGCCTAAGCACATAGTCATCAGGTTATCTAAAGTCAAGACAAAGGAAAGAATCTTAAGATCTGTGAGACAAAAGCATCAGGTAACCTATAAGGGAAATTTCCCCTGTAAGATTAACAGCAGATTTCTCACCAGAAACCTTACAAGCCAGAAAAGACTGAGGTCCTATCTTTAGCCTCTTGAAACAAAGTAATTATCAGCCAAGCATTTTGTATCCAGGAAAACTAAGCTTCATAAACGAGAGAAAGATAAAGTCTTTTTCAGGCAAACAAATGCTGAGAGAATACATTACTACCAAGCCAGCACTACAAGAAATGCTAAAAGAAGTTCTAAATCTTGAAACAAAACCTTGCAATACACCAAAAAAGAACCTCCTTAAAGCATGAATCTCACAGAGCCTATAAAATAACACAATGAAAAGAAAAACAAGGTATTTAGGTAACAACTACCATGATAACTACAACAGTACATCACATCTCAATACTAACATTGAATATAAAGGGCCTAAATGCTCCACTTAAAATATGCAGAATTGCCAGGAGCGGTGGCTCACGTCTGTAATTCCAGCACTTTGGGAGGCTGAGGTGGGCAGATCACCTGAGGTCAGGAGTTTGAGACCAACCTAACCAACATGGAGAAACCCCGTCTCTACTAAAAATACAAAATTAGTCGGGTGTGGTGGTGCATGCCTGTAATCTGAGCTACTCAGGAGGCTGAAGCAGGAGAATCGCTTGATCCTGGGAGGCGGAAGTTGCAGTGAGCAGAGATTGTGCCATTGCACTCCAGCCTGGGCAAGAAGAGCTAAACTCCGTCTCAAAAAAAAAAAAAAAAAAAAAAAAAAAAGCAGAATGGCAGAATGCATAAAAATCCACTAACCAAGTATCTACTGTCTTCAAGAGACTCACTAACACATAAGGACTCACATAAGGTAAAGGAGTGGAAAGATATTTCACGCAAATGGAAACTAAAAGCGAGCAGGAATAGCTATTCTTGTATCAGACAAAACAGATTTTAAAGCAACGACAATTAAAAAAAAAGACAAAGAGGGACATTACATAATAAAAGAGTAAGTCCAACAAGAAAATAACACAATTCTAAATATATATGGACCTAACACTGGAGCTCCCAAGTTTATAAAACAATTACTACTAGACCTAAGAAATGAGATAGACAGCAACACAATAATAGTGGGGGACTTCAATACTCCACTGACAGCACTAGACAGGTCATCAAGACAGCAAATCGACATAGAAACAACGAACTTAAACTACACCTTAGAATGGAACCAACATATTTACAGAAAATTCTACCCAACAACTGCAGAATATACATTCTTTTCATCAGCACATGGAACGTTCTGCAAGAGAGACCATATGATAGGCCACAAAACAAGTCTCAATAAATACAACAAAATCAAAAGTATATCAAGTATCCTCTCAGACTACAGTGGAATAAAACTAGAAATTAACTCCAAAAGGAACCTTTGAAACAATACAAATATATAGAAATTAAATAATCTGCTTTTGAATGATCTTTGGGTCAAAAATGAAATCAAGATAAAAAAATTAAAAATTCTTTGAACTGAATAACAGTGACAAAACTCATCAAAATCTGGGATACAGCAAAAGTAGTGCTAAGAGGAAAGTTCATAGTATTAAATGCCTACATCAAATAGTCTGAAAGAGCACAAATAGACAATCTAAGGTCACACCTCAAGGAACTGGAGAAACAAGAACAAACCAAACCCAAAGCCAGCAGAAGAAAATAAATAACAAAGATCAGAGCAGAACTAAATGAAATTGAAACAAAAAAATGCAAAATAAAGTGAAACATAAAGCTGGTTCTTTGAAAAGATAAACAAAATAGATACACCAGTAAAAGATTAACCAAGAAAAGAAGAGAGAAGATCCAAATAAGCTCAATTAGAAACAAAATGGGTGATATTACAACTGATACCACAGAAATACAAAAGATCATTCAAGGTTACTATGAACACCTTTATATACACGAACTAGAAAATCTAGAGAGACGGAAAAATTTCTAGAAATTTACAACTGTCCCAGATTGAATCAGGAAGAAACAGAAACTCTGAACAGACAAATAACAAGCAGTGAGATTAAAACAGTAATAAAAAAATTGCCAACAAAAAATAAGTCCAGGAGCAGATGGATTCACAGCTGAATTCTATCAGCCATTCAAAGAAGAACTGACGCCACTTAGTGAAACTATTCCAAAAGATAGAAAAAGAAGAAATCCTCCTTAAATAATTATCTGAAGCCTGTATCACCCTAATACCAAAACCAGAAAAGGACATAACAAGAAAAGTGAACTAAAGAACATGTTCCTGATGGACGTAGATGCAAAGATCCTTAACAAAATACTAGCTAACTGAATCCAACAGCATATAAAAAAGATAATATATCACGATCAAGTGGGTTTCAATAAATGTGATATATCACATAAACAGAATTTAAAACAACAGTCATATGATCATCTCAACAAATGCAGTAAACACATTTGACAAGTCCAGCATCCCTTTATGATGAAAACCCTCAGCAAAACTGACATAGAGGTGACACACTTCAAGGAAATAAAACCCATCTATGACAAATGTACAGCCAATATTATACTGAACAGGGAAAATTGGAAAGAATTATCCCGAGAAATGGAACAAGACAAGGATGCCCACTTTGACCACTCCTAGTCAACATAGTGCTGGAAGTCCTAGCCAGAGCAATCAGACAAAAACGAAAGAAATAAGGGGCATCTGAATTGGTAAAGAGGAAGTCAAACTCTCACCATTCACTGATAATATGATCATATACCTAGAAAACCCTAAAGACTCATCCAAAAAGCTCCTAGATTTGATAAATGAATTCATTTGATAAATGAATTCAGTAGTTTCAGGATACAAAACGAATGTACACAAAGCAGTAGCACTGCTATACACTAACAACGACGAAGCTGAGAATCAAATCAAGAACTCAAATACTTTGACAACAGCTGCAAAATAAATAAAATACTTAGGAATATACCTAACCAAGGAGGTGAAAGATCTCTAGAAGGAAAACTACAAAACACTGCTGAAATAAATCACCAATGACACAAATAGAAACACATCCCATGCTCATGGATGGGGAGAATTCATATTGTGAACATGAGCATACTGCCAAAAGCAATCTACAAATTCAATGCAATTCTCATCAAAATACCAACATCATTTTTCACAGATCTAGAAAAAACAATCCTAAAATTCATAGGGGACCAATAAAGATCCTACATAGCCAAAAAAAGACTAAGCAAAAAGAACAAATCTAGAGGCATCATATTACCTGACTTCAAATTATACTACAAAGCTATAGTTACCGAAACAACATGGTACTGCTATAAAAATAGGCACATAGAGCAATAGAACAGAACAGAGAACTCAGAAATAAAGCCAAATATTTAGAGCCAACTGATCTTCGACAATACAAACAAAAACATAAAGTGAGGAAAGGACACCCTATTCAACAAATGGTGCTGGGATAACTGGCAAGCTACATGTAGAAGACTGAAGCTGGATCTTCATCTTTCACCTTATACAAAAATCAACTCAAGATGGATCAAAGACTTAAATCTAAGACCTGAAAACATAAGGATTCCAGAAAATAACATTAGACAAAGTCTTCTAGACATTGGCTTAGGGAAAGAGTTAATGACCAAAAACCCAAAAGCAAATGCAACAAAAATAAAGATAAATAGATGGGACTTAATTAAACCAAAAAGTTTCTGTACAGCAAAAGAAATAATCAGCAGAGTAAACAACCCACAGAGTAGAAGAAAATAGTCACAAACTATGTATCCAACAAAGGACTAATATCGAGAATCTACAATGAACTCACAAAAATCAGCAACAAAAAAAGCAAACAATCCCATCAAAAAGTGGGCAAAAGACATGAATAGACAATTCCCAAACGAAGATGTACAAATGGCCAACGAACATATGAAAAAATGCTCAACATCACTAATGATCAGGGAAATGCAAATCAAAACCATAATGAGATACCACCTTACTCCTGTAAGAATGGCCATAATTTAAAAAATCAAAAAATAATAGATGTTGGAGTGGATGTGGTATAAAGGGAACACTTTTACACTGCTGGTGGGAACATAAACTAGTACAACCACTATGGAAAACAGTGTGGAGATTCCTTAAAGAACTACAAGTAGCACCATCATTTGATCCAGCATCCCACTCCTGGGTATCTACCCAGAGGAAAATAAGTAATTAAATGAAAAAGATGCTTGCACACGCATGTTTATAGCAGCACGATTCGCAACTGCAAAAATATGGAACCGGCCTAAATGCCCATCAATCAATGAGTGGATAAAGAAAATATATGTATATACTAAATGGAATATATAAATGGAAACCCAAATATCATATGTTCTCACTTATAAGTGGGAGCTATACTATGAGGACACAAAGGCACAAGAATGATATAATGGACTTTGGGGACTCAGGAAGAAGGGATGGAGGCGGGTAAGGGATAAAAGAGTATACACTGGGTACAGCATATGCTGCATGGGTGACGGTGCACCAGAATCTCAGAAATCACCACTAAAGAACTTATCCATGTAACCAAAAACCACCTGTTCCCCACAAACTATTGAAATAAAAATAAAATAGATATTTTGTTTCTTACTCATCTTTAATAGCTAAACATATTAAGTGCATAATACATGTAGCAACAATATAAATACAATCAATGCCTAATAATCACTACAAAAGGTGGTTGGCCTTATAAAGCATCAAAATTGGGTGAAGTAGATTAGCCTTGATTTCCTTTCATCACTAACTCACACCTGAATCTGGTAAGTGGTAAGATTTTCTTTATTCAATTGAGAAGAAGCAGCACATCATAAGTAAGTAGGAGAGAATGGTATAAGCAAAGATGCTCCAGAGCAATGGTAGGAAAAAAGTCCTTGAAACTTAACAGCAAGTTATAGGAAAAAAGTCCTTGCAACTTAATAGCAGGGCATTAGTTCATAATAATTGAGAACAACAAGAATAGGTAACATCTATTATTTACCATATGCCACCTAAAATTCTAGACACTTTACCAGTAACAGTTTATTTACTCATTATAATAAGTTGATGAAACAAATACTATTATTATTCTCATTTACCAGGTAAAGAAACTGAGGCACTGAGAGGTTTAGTAAATTGCCGAATTTCATCAAATGAATAAGTAGGTGAGCGAGAAATCTAACCAAGGAGTCTTCAGTCTAGCTTCACAGACTGTTCTCCTGACTACTACATTATATTGTCGAGATATTTAAAATACGTTGTCCTCGTTTTAGAAAAAAAGAAAAAGAAATATGAAATTAAACACTGAATGATAAAAGCTGAACTAATTCATTAACTTGAACCTAGGTGTTCAATTTTTAAACATTTTGACCTACCTTTTCTTCATTGTTCCTTCCTTCCTTCATTCATTTCCCTAATACTAACTGGACAACTAGTATATGCTAGACCCAAGAGACAATAATACAAAATCTCTGAACACAAAGAACTTAGACTTCAGCGAGGCCATAAATGTGAAAAATATTATTATACAGTGTAATTGTTGTTGTAGGAGAGATATATATAAAGGAAGGGTATAAGGGACCTGACCAGACAAATATGATCCAGACATTTCCAACAGCACAGACAAGAATTAGATCATCTAGGATGGCTTCAGTGCCTGGTGTCATAGGAAGAGGTGGCTGGGAGGTGAGGAGAAAATTCTAGCAAGGAAACAGCCTGATCCCTGTCACTTTGGCAGTGGTATGGAGGATGAATGAACTGGGGGAAGATAAAGGCAAATCTTAGTGCTAGAAACAGGAAAGGGGCAGAGGACAGAGGAATTTGATTATATTATGGTAATAATGAAGATGAAAGATTAAGACAATGAATGTAAGAGAAAGAAGAAAGATGATGAAATAAGTAATGTCAGTTAGCTAGCAGTTAAATAACTGTACTATTTTAATAAATAAATTGATGATTACAGAAAAAATTAAGCAATAAGAACATGCTAACTTTCTATCATGTATTTTTATCACGTACCCACAGGTAAAGCAAAGCATCACTGCTGGTAGCAACTAACTGAATTATAGACATAGATTTAAATTATCTACAATACACTAAATCTATATATGTAACATCTATGTCTAACTGAAGAAATAAAAATCACAAAAACATACATTTTTAATTTCTCCAGATGGGATGATTTCTAAATAGGAGTTATAGAAAATTCCTTCCTTTTTAACAAACATATACCATATTCTATTTTAAACTTGTATGTATACATTCATTTAGTCCTCCTCAAACTCCTATGAGGTCAATACTACTATCCCTATG
Source organism: Homo sapiens (assembly GCF_000001405.40). Lineage (NCBI taxonomy): Eukaryota > Metazoa > Chordata > Mammalia > Primates > Hominidae > Homo > Homo sapiens. The sequence goes on from NC_000006.12 coordinate 45,148,307, forward strand.
TTACACAAGAGAAAATCAAGGCTCTGAGAGTTAAGTAATGTGCAAAGCTAACTAGATGGTACAATCAGTTCTGCTATAATACTTATTCTGAAATGCAAATGTGTCCCAATCCAACTGATACATTAGGGAACAATTTGAGCATAACTCAGATTTCATTTTGCTTATGAGTGACTTCATCCATAAGAAACATGAGGTGACTACAGAAAACTGAACCAAGTCATACAGGAGGACACCAAAAGCACACGCTCAGACATTAACCAGCTATCTCAGTTCACCATGTGAGTTGTGACTGATACCTATTCAGATCTAGTACTACAACTTTTCTTCTGACTTCAGATAATCCTCTTTCCATCACTTCACAACTCACAAGCTACAACCTCTTCTGCTTCCACGAGGGAATTCAGGTCTTTTTCAATATAAAGTGCCAAATATATTGCAGTATTTATTTATTAACCATTTAACACTTATGATATTTTTTAAATGTGTTACTGAGTTTTTGAGTATTGTGCCATAACCCCATTTTCCCGTAAGTCCTGTGGTTTTCATTGTGTAATTCTGAAATGCATGCTGACTTGTAGGAGCAAATATGTTGCATTTTAGCAGGACTGACTCTAAGTAGTGGAGTTATATTCAAGTTTGCTGATTTCAGTGCCCAGGCTTGTAAGTTACAGTGTTTTCCCATCTTTATTTATGTATCATCCCAAACTTTTAGTACACAATATGTTTTTGGACATCTTAAATTTCCAATTCTCTTTTGTGTGAACTGTTGGGATTACTAAACATATTAATATACAGTAGTTGTAACTTGAAAAATATTATAACACATACCTGTGACAAATATGCATTGGTATGAACAAACATTGCCTATACATAAGAATAACCCCATCATAAGTTACAAATTATAAATACTGTCCAAAGTGGAAATGAACTGTCACTGTCAATTTTCACTCCAATTATTTCTCATAAATGCCAACTTGTAGCTATCTATGACCTACTACAGTTGAAAGGAAAATCATAACCAAAAAAATGACAGAATAAGGTTTAATAATTTAGGTTAAAAACTCTGCATAACACTTTTAAATTCAGGTTCCACTATGTACAGTCTACAGTAGCAAGTTAATAATGGAAATGGAATCCCCTACTGGAACTACTCAAGACTTTACAACTTTTCCATTAGTTGATTTACTTTACGAAATATCATCACTGCCAAATCATTGGAGAGAAAATAAATTTGTCAGTTGCAAAAACCATTTAAAAATTATCTCTCCAATGCTTAAGTAGAAGAAAAGCTGAAATCACATAAAATCCATATTTAGGTAGACACACTTGAACTCACATCAATGTCTTTAAATGTAGTATAAACCAGGAATCAAAGTAAGAATATACTAAGGTAGATGTTATCTGGTCAGTGCTAAGCAAAGTCTAAAAAATGTTAACAATCTGGACAAAAAAACTTTAAAAAAAATTCCAAATATCTCTATGTTTAGTATTAAATAGCTAAAATATTAGCATATCTAAGTAAAATTTCCCATCCTTATTCAGCGATACTGAGTGATGGCTTCAGCATCACTTCTTGGCCTTTTGGCTAAGATCAAGTGAGTGACAGCTTCAGCACAGTGGTTCTAACACTGGCTGAATGTTAAAATCACCTGAACAATTTTTTTAAAAAAGGTCCAGGCTACATATCAGGTAAATTGAATCTGAATATTTGAAATTGGGGCCCCAGCATCAATGTTTTTTTTAAGAGCTCCTCAGAATGGTTACAAATATGTACAACTAAGGTTGAGAACTGTTATTCTAAAATAATCATGATTTCTTTAATGAAGCTTATTTTTTTTACTCATGATTCCAGGAGCTACTCATAAATCAAAAGAACCAATTAGGATATAAGAAAATTATACATTTTAAATTCTAAAAGTTCAAAGTTTTATTTGTTCCTTTTTTTACTAAAAATAGTAGCATTCAGATATAGCTTAACATATGGGTCCCTAAAAATATTACTTGGGAAATTTTTGTCAAGTCTTAACTGACATCAGTCAAACATACATGGAAATGTCTGATGAAAAAATGACCATTGTTGGAAATTTCTGTTCTTCTAGAGCTATCATACGAAATACACAAATATATAAATACTTAAAGAGTCTACTAAAACACAGCTGAGTAGAGAGACAACACAAAATGAGATATTTTTCTCTAAACATTCAATATTGAATATAAACTAAATTCAGAATCAATATTGAATATAAAGTAAACTCAGCATGGGACACCATGCCTTATAGTTTTCTTCTATCTCAGTGGCAGCATTTTCTCCATTTCTTTGGTTGGTTCTCTTTCTGTTCTTGAAACATTACCTTGTGCCTGAAGGCTCGATTCTCAGACCAACTTCTACTTCTACTTATAATCTTTATTCTGCGTTTTTTTTTTTTTTTTTTTTAAGATGGAGTCTCACTCTGTCGCCCAGGCTGGAGTGCAGTGGCACAATCTCGGCTCACTGCAACCTCCGCCTGCCATGTTCAAGCAATTTTCCTGCCTCAGCTTCCCAAGTAGCTGGGACTACAGGCGTGCGCCACCATGCCCGGCTAGTTTTTTGTATTTTTAGTAGAGACAGGTTTCACCACCCTGGGCAGGCTGGTCTCGAACTCCTGACCTCGTGATCCACCTGCCTCGGCCTCCCAAAGTGCTGGGATTACAGGCGTGAGCCACCGCACCCAGCCATCTTTATACTGCTTTCAAAGCATTCAATGAGAGAAATAACCAGAAAACAAAAAAGTTAACTTCTTGAAATCCAAAGAAAAAGATGTTTCATACATATTTCTCCAACTATAGCCTTTATGGCTATTTACAGGACAAAATTTTTGAAAAATTTTGAAAAGAGAAAAGTGGGTATGCAGATAGTAAACTAAATGAGTTCAAACTAAACTCTTAATAAATTTTAGTACTTATAAAAAGCTTTATTTTTTCATCTAGTATTTTTAATTCAGTGTTGGGAAAAAACTATTCTAATTGGCTAATTTCTACAAACACTATTCTAAATCTATTTTCAAATATCCTCTGTTAAGCAAGTTTCAAAAAGATTGAAAGCCCATATACCACCATATATAGCACTCATATTGACAAAAGTATTTCAGATTATCTGTAATTAAGATTGCTCATATCAAACTGATATTCTTAGAAATATGTAGCCATTTAAGACTATCACACAAAGACTAGATTATAATGGAGTGAAGCTGGGCAAAGAAATGCTTAAATCAGGCCCTTAGAAACAGAAAGTTAACTGTACTCACTTTAAAACAAGTTAAAAGTGTTTAACCTTCCTCCAACACTGGGCATTAAATCTTACAGGTAATTAATTATGACGTAAAAATGTAATTCTAATTCATAATTGTAACTGTTTTCTAAATCAAAGTATTTTTAAAATTAACATCAATTTATATCAAGTTTCTCTTTTCTAGGCAAGTATTGTCTACCAATAGGCTAGCTAAGTTAGCCCAGTGATAAAGGCCCTTAGCATTAAAACAGTTCAGTCTTTCCTTTCTGAAATCCTTCTTCATTTGGTTGCTGGGACACCATGCTCTACTGGTTTTCTTCTATCTCAACAGCAGCATCTTCTCAGTTTCTTTGGTTGGTTCTCTTTCTGTTCTTGTAACATTAACTTGTTCCTGAGGGCTCAATTCTCAGATCAACTTCTCTTCTATATCTACATATACTTTCTAGGTGACCTCATCTAGTCCCAAATCTTTAAATACCATCTATAAGCCGATTCCCAAACTTCTATGCTAACTTTTCCCCAGAATTCTGGACTCTCTGATCCCACTGCTAACTTGGTATCATAAACAGAACACACCCAAAATTAAGAAGAAAATCTTAATTTTCTTCTCCAAAAGTAGTTCCTCACTATCTCATTGGCACCACCATTCCCAATTCTTAAGCCCAAAGGCCTTAAAATCATCTCCAACATTTTGCTTTTTCTTGTGCACCACATCAGATCTATTAGCAAATCTTGCGAGCTACCTTTAGAATATTTATTTCCACAATGCAATCAATTTTCACATCTCCAACTGCTAATGCCTTAAGCGAAGCTGCTATCATCTCTAGCCTGGGCAGTTCTAGTAGACGTCTATCTGGTTGTCTGCTTTCACCTCTGTCCCACCTGATGTGTTTCCTCCACAAAGCAGCTAGAGGAATCCTTTTATTTTTATTTTTGAGACACAGTCTCATTCTCTTGCCCAGGCTAGAGTGCAGTAGTCCTATCTCAGCTCACTGCAACCTGTGCCTCCCGGGTTCAAGTGATTCTCGTGCCTCAGCCTCCCGAGTAACTAGACTACAGGTGTGCAACACCACGCCCGGCTAATTTTTGTTATTTTTCGGAGAGACGGGTTTTCACCATGTTGGCCAGGCTGGTCTCAAACTCCTGACCTCAAGTGATCCACTCGTCTCAGCCTCCCAAAGTGCTGGGATTACAGGCATGAGCCACCACACCCAGCTCCTAGAGTAATCCTTTTAAATTTAATCATATGCTCTCCTAATCAAAATCCTTTAAGTAAAAAAATATATATACATTTAAATAAAATCACAACTCCTGATCATGCCCTACAAGGTCTGGCTTCTTTGCCCTCATCTATATATACCTTCTACCCTTACCAAATAGCCTTTGTGATGTTCCTCAAACACACCAAATACATTCCTCCCTAAACATCTTTACATTTGCTATTCTCTCACACAGGAAGAGCAATATAGCAGTATCTAGGGCATTCTGGCATAATGGCATTCAGATCTTAGCTCAAATATCACCTTTCAGATTGGCCTTTCTTGGTCATCATATTGAAAATATCAGCTTCTATCATATTCCATCCCCTTATCCTGCTTTATTTTTCTTCCTAGGACTTACCACTATCAGACATAATATCATGTATCTGTTTGTTGTCTACTTCTGCCATTAGAATGTAAGCTTTATGAAGACAGAACCTTCATCTTCTTCACTAGTGTAGCCCTAGTGGCCAGAACAATGCCTTAGGCATGATAGGCACACAATAATGTTAGTTGAATAAATTAGTCCCTTAATAGGGACAACAATAATTAATCACTTAATAGGAACAACAAGTAGATATCAGAATATATGTCTCATGTTTGTGAAACAACTCTCAATAATAAAGTAAAATTAATAAGGCAACAAGGAAAAGAAACTGATGACTCAACCTGCATAGGAACTATAATACATTATTAAAAATTAAATGAAAAATGTGCATATTTGTGTTAACAAAGATAGGTCAAAAGATAATGTTGGCTGGGCACAGTGGCCCACACCTGTAATCCCAACACTTAGGGAGCCCGAGGCTGATGGATCACTTGAGGTCAGGAGTTCGAGACCAGCCTGGCCAACATGGTGAAACCCTGCCTCTACCAAAAATACAAAAGTAGCCAGTAGTGGTGGCACATGCCTGTAGGTTGGAATTTGGGCAAGATAAAAAATCAGAGCTTAGGCCGGGCACGGTGGCTCACGCCTGTAATCCCAGCACTTTGGGAGGCTGAGGCGGGTGGATCAGTTAAGGTCAGGAGTTCGAAACCAGCCTAACCAACATGGTGAAACCCTGTCTCTACTAAAAATGCAAAAAAATTAGCCAGGCGTGCTAGTGCATGCCTGTAGACCCAGCTACTCGGGAGGCTGAGGCAGGAGAATCGCTTGAACCCGGGAGGCGGAGGTTCCAGTGAGCTGAGATCACGCCACTGCACTACAGCCTGGGCAACAGAGCAAGACTCTGTCTCAAGAAAAAAAAAAAAAAAAGCGCTTAGTCCTCCTATGTTAGAACTAATTTCAAATAAAGAAAATCCCAAAGGTCAATCAATACTTTTGGTTTTGCCTACTTAGCTTAAAACACAAGTAGCTTGAAATCCATATAGTCAATTAATTCACATATTATTTACTTCACACCTACTATATAGGAAGGATTCTAGGAAGTGTTTGAAACGAAACAATTGGAGGATGATGCTTAGTCAATGTCTGTTCAATGAAGAAATGACTGAACAATTAAAAAAAAGAAGAAGAAGAAAACTTCCAAGAATGGCATCAAGGCTAAGAAAGGTATCTTATGCCAGTGTTGTGGCTCAGAAAATAACAGACCTCCTCCCAAGAATCTCATCAAATAATCAAGACCAATTAACCACTAGAGAAGAGAGAAAACTTCAGTGAGTAGTCACCATGCTCACATAGACTTTTCATCTATTGTGAGAGCAGCTTCTAGAGATTACCTGAGGGAATTTATGTGCATAATAGGACAACTTTTGTTCACAGTGAAGTTGTGCTTCTCACCTTCCTGCTCCTTGACTCCAGTTCAGAGGAACTTAGTCCCAGGCCATTGTTCTTCAGGCTCATTCATATCCCCTAAAAATCATTTACTCCTACATCCTGCCCTGCACCCATCAACCCTATCCCCAATGAGGAAGAATATGTAGCATCTAAACCTCATTGGGTTATTGGGTAATCATTCTCTTGCAATTCCCCTGTGTTATACCTGTTAAATAAACGTGTATGCCCTTTCCCCTATTAATCTGCCTTTTGTCAGTTCATTTTCAGAGAACCTTCAGAGGGCAAAGGGGAAGCTCTCCCTTGGCCTCTGTACCTACGTGCCTGATAATATGGACAGTCAGTACATGACTTCCGTGGAGAAGGTAGTGTTTGATCTGCAATTTGGAGTGAAACTCTGTTCATCTTAGAAGGAAAAAAGTTAGGTTTGAAAAAAATGGCACAACAAAATTAGTGTGAAACAAAAAATGCATCTTACTGGGCTCATTAGAATGTGTGATTAAGATAGCTCTAACTTCCTATTTCAAATATATATGTTGAACCATAAATATTCTCATAAAATATTAAGTAGACTTTGCTTCATAACCAATTAATTGAGAATGTTGTTTTACAATGAATTGTAACGAAGTTCAAAGCTCTTACCACTTGCCACATGACAGCCAAGATGTCAAGAGGCAAGGAAAGTGACTTCTATTTGGAGAGCCAGCATACCAAGAAGATGGTGAACTAGTGTCCTAAAGAACCATCTTAAGTTAATATGAATTTTAGGCTCCTTTTATGTGGGGGAAAGGGAGATGAGGGAAGGGGCTGATGTGGGCAGCAGTGACGGTCAAAGAAGACTGAAACTTCTTTGTCCTTGGTCAGGTCACAATGCTTCAACAAATCTTTTAACACTACATTGTTACTTCTGTGTAAACCCTCCTTATCTCCTCAGGAGTTAGTTTCAAGGAAGGGACTATTATCATCCTTGCTTTAAACTATAAGCTAAATTCCTCCCATAGTTAGCTTGGCCTATGTACAAAGATAAGCAAAAGCAGCTAACCTAAAAGAGAGCATGAAGGATGGGGAGTTAGGAACAAAAATGGAGTTAGTCATGCTACGCCTCCTTTTCACTGTTACATAATTATAGATAAATAAGGGGAAAAGGACTAAGGGGCAAGACTGAGATTCCAGGGTCACTGTACTCAGGAAAACCCCCACATATTAGGGCAATGGAGCTAACTTGAAGCTACTATGAAGCATTCTGTTGAAGAAACCAGTAAAAGTTCACTTATATATAAATGATAGGCCAATCTACCCAAAAATGGGCAAATTTATATTTTTGAACTATACCTTACAGCAAATAATTCATCTAACGTTCAAATTCAAGGACAATAAAGCCAAACTCATTACCTCTTAGAGTAAATAATATGTTTATAATTTCTCAACATGACCCATCTATGTTCTAGGGGATTTAAAAAAGAAGAAGAAAAAAGAAAATAGCTTGTCACAAAAAAACAGCCAATGGAAGATTCTATGGCCAATAATTATGCTACCAAGCTACACGATGCTTAAAAACATTTTAAGCATGAGCATAAGCTCATTTTGCATATGTAACTTGTTTCTCTCAGTGTCTGAGACTATCAGAAACAAAGAAACCCACATCCTAAGCCACAGAATACAGCCACCTGGTTTTACTCTTATCACAGGATGACAAAAATGCTTTCAGTCTCCTAAGGTCATGCAGATATCCTCAACATTTGTATAGTGTTTTTTAACTAACAAAACTGTTGCATCCTTCCTGAGTTCTAGAGTGGTCAAAAGATACAATGCAAACACTTCTTACGATAACCTTTGCTGTCACATTTAAAGGCATAGGCTCAATGACTAACATAAATTTCAAAATGCTAGCTCCCTTTTCTTTCCCTTTTCTGTTCTGATACTAATATAATAATATATATTTTCTGTTCTAATACTAATATAATTAATATAATTTCAATAAATTTCTGGAATCTTTGTTTATAAAAATGTTAAATCAGTGTCAGCTTTGCAGAATTCATCTGTTAACCCAAAGAAACATAAATAAGTTTATGAGTATAACAAGAAATGAGTTTTTTAAAATGTCCCCATTCTATATTTTTAAAACCCTTGGTTTTCTCTTAATATATATATATATTTTAGAATGATGAAGTTTTTGATTTTTTTATCAGAACACTTTTTACAATAACTTCCAAAGCTAGTGTGAAATATTTGTTGACACATAGACATTTAATGAAGTAATTCCATGATTTAGTACCATAATTTTTATGGTTTTAGTGAAAAAAAAGTGAGACTTGGATAATCTAGTTGAAATCAAGACACATGTGTAAAGAACTTAACAGAAACTACCACCTATACTTGATCTGTTGATTTGATCAGAGAACATTAATAAGTTAAAGGAATGCAACTTCCAATAATTTTCCATGAAAATGCAATCATCTGGCAAAAATATTATTTATTTCTGTTAAAACACTGGTGAAATCTTCCCATCCTTTTTTTAACTTCACAAATGTATTCAACTTCATGGACTATGTTTATATACAACATCGTAGAAAAGAGTTTCAATAATCTCATAATAATTGGAGAGGCTTAACAAGCAACATATGATTAAGAAAAATGGTTATCAATTTTTATATTTTGAAACATTCTTTTTAAAAACAGTATTTAAGAACCAACCTCCAAAAATCAATATATTATTTAACATTTCATTTATAATGTATCATCAGATCATACATTTATAATGTATGACAAGACCAGTCATTCTCAACTTGGCTGCACATTAGACTCACCTACAGATTTGAAAGACGTACCAATGCCAAGAACTCCAACCCCAAGAGATTCTGATTTAATTGGTCTGGGTAGAAACCACATACATATATGTATATATATGATGCCTATGTTTTATATATATAAATATATATATACATATGTATTTCTTTTTGAGATGGAGTCTCACTGTGTCACCCAGGCTGGAGTGCAGTGGCACTATCTCAGCTCACTGCAACCTCCAGCTCCCGGGTTGAAGCTATTCTCCTGCCTCAGCCTCCTGAGCAGCTGGGATTACAGGCGCGCACCACCATGCCCGGCTAATTTTTGTATTTTTAGTAGAGACAGGGTTTCACCATGTTGGTAAGGCTGGTCTCAAACTCCTGACCTCGTGATCCGCCTGCCTCGGCCTCCCAAGTGCTGGGATTACAGGAGTGAGCCACCGCACCCGGCCAGCATTATATTTTTAAAAAGCTTTTTAGGTAATTTTAATGTGTAGCCAAGGATGAGAATCGTTATAGATCATGATCAGCATTCTAAAAACTATATATCTAAACTTATAATTTCTGTAATTATAGTAATTATTAATAATACGTAATTATAACTCCTCAACATGACCCATCCATGCTCTAGGGGATTTAAAAAAGAATCACATTTATAATTTATTTATAAATTATTATAATTTATAATTAATATATTTATATACTAATATATATTATATAATTATTTTATAAATTCAACCCCTAACAGAGTCACTTCTTCCCTGACTCTGATCTACAATCATTTAATTGGTCTGGGTAGAAACCATAGAGATAGATAGATAGATAGATAGATAGATAGATAGATAGATAGATAATGCCTATATTTTATATATATAAATATACATATATATATATATATATATATATTTTTTTTTTTTTTTTTTTGAGATGGAGTCTCACTATGTCACCCAAGCTGGAATGTAGTGGCACTATCTCGGCTCACTGCAACTGAAATAGGGTAATGTTCAACTTGATAAACTGTAGTGTCCAGAAGGAAGCATACCTACGACTGGCAATAAAAGTAAATCTTGGGCCCTAGAAGAAGGAACACTAGTTCACAGCCACGTTCTAAGTTCTGGGTTGACTCCACCAACCTCAAAACATCTGAACTCTACACAGGATAACACTCTTCTAGATCAGACATTTTTGGAATCCTGCTAAGGAAGGGATGACTTGGGGATACCTTTGATTTGGGGTGAGACATACCCAGCCACTTCCTTGTATGGTTATCGCTAGCTGTCAGAGTATAGGAATGGCTTCCAGAAATATTCCTATTGCCCACCCTACTCACTCACCTATTTTATACTATGATGGTGCAGAACCAGAGGTCATATCCTGATATGAACACATTCTATAGCATCTGTTACCAAGAATATGTAGGTAATGGGAAAACAAGACACTCCACTACTACTAGTCACCCTGAGGTAGGTGGTCCTTGCTGGTCAGTGGGGCTATCTCATCAGAAAGTGTGGTTACAAGATCAAAAAAATCAGAGCAAAAGGACTCAAATCCAATGGCAAGGAAGACACATTTCAATTTGACTGAGTGTTCATCACTGCTGCATTCTAAAATCCATAATGTAGTATGTCAGGATGACCTATGCAGTTGTGTTAGAATCCAGTCCCTACATTCCCATTCTCTCCTCCCCACTGAAGGGGATGACCAAGATGTTCAGTTCTCCAGTCACCTTTCTTCGTAGGTTGTCAAGCCTCTGCTCTTCAAGCACAATATCCTATTGAACTGACCAGATTTGATCAAGCTGTACTTAACTTACTGTCAATGCAGCAGACCCATTTTCCAATGATGCAATATGGGATTCAATGACATTGATTCCACCTCTACAGAGGTGAAAGATTGTTACTGGGCACACCTGAACGTAACTGGCTCAAATTACTTATCATGAAGTCACTATTCGAAATTACTTAATTGGCTGCCTAATTAGGCCTCTAGGCTTCAAAATCAATTAGCATGATCAGTTATCTCAGGCACAGATCAAAATAGTCATCCCAGAGAAAGGGTTTACGGAGAGACAGGTTGTCATCCTTGGATCTAGAGCCATCAATAGCCTCACCCAATATCTAAACATCAAGCTTTCTTCAGTCATGGAGGCCAGCAAGAACCATGTAGATTCACCCATAACTCACAATTCATCTACATAGTTTCTGAACAGTCAGAGATCCTGTTTTAAATAAATTATAAATGTGTACTTGCTACACAACTCTATCATAAATTTCTCATGTTTAAAGTGTTCAAATTCCTTTCTTTGTTTAGCTACTACAACAAGATCCACGTTTAGTTAGCTTCTCCTTATTACTTTTTTGGTTTGTTGGTTGTTCTTGCTCTTTATTTTGTTTCCAAAATGTAAAAGTAAAATATTAATAAATTACAGTTCAGTTATGTCAGGAATTTTTCAAAAACAATTATTGGTCTGAGCTTTTTTCTTGAAGACCAGAAGTCACAGTTAAAACACACCCACACCTACATATACCCAAATAACACAACATAGTCCACAATCCCAAAAATTAATGCGAGTTATAAACTAACAAAAATCTGGGTTCAAATAATTAATTTATGGTACAGTCATCAGAGAAATAAAATAGAACTTTAAAATAGTATTGCAAAGTAGGTACCAGAAGAACTAATATAAAGCATAGCATGTACCTCTCAAATGGTTAAAGCCAAGGTCATTAACAAGGATACCGAAATGTTTCTCTTAAATAGCCATTTGGCAGGCTAAGACTCACATTCAAGTTCTTGTCAAAGAAATACAAACTCACTAAAATGTTGTTTATTTTGAAAAATTGTTAATATGAGGCAGGTCTTCAAACAAGGCAGTTAAAGTTTCTGGAATATTAAAAGGGACTTACAAAAAGATCTACAGCAAGTATTCACAGTAGTCGTATAACAGTAGTGCTTCAATGTAGAGGACAAAATAAATGCATGACCAAATGTTTTCTTGAAAATCAGTCTAAAATTAGATGACCAAAGACGTAAGTACTACATCCACAGTCAAGATATAAAGAGATTTTCCATAGAAATGAATGAGCACGACACACACAGATTCTGCAAGCATAGCAAAACCTGAAACTAAAAATATTGTTTTAGCTGGGAAAAACATTTTTTATATATAAGTGAATTACGGTGAGTTTCCAAAAGGCCTGAAATGCATACTGAATTGAAACAAAAAAAAAATCCATAAAATTTGTAAATTTAAGTGAGGAAGGTAGAGTAAAAAAGTAAAGTACAAAGGAAAAAAATTAATGAACACAGTAAAACTACTCATAGACACAAAAGAAATACAATATGTAGGCAATACAAAAATTTGTTATACAAGAAAAAATATGGATACCCAAAGTTTCCATTCTAGGTCTTGATATGAATCTCCCCCTATAAAATCCTTTAACTACACCACAAAATTTTCCTGCCTCTGAAACAGGTAATTGATAAGTTTGAATGTTCCCTCCAAATTTCATGTTGAGATAAAATCTGCAGTGTTGGAGTGTGGGCCTAGTGGGAGGTGTTTGGGTCATGGGGGCGGATCCCTCATGGCTTAGTGCTGTCCTTGAAATAGTGAGTTCATTCTCAGGAGCTCTGGTTGTTTAAGTGTGTTCCCCCAACACTCTCTCTTGCTTCTGCTCATTCCATGAGACACCTGCTCCCCCTTTACCTTCTGCCATGATTTGTAAGCTTTCTGAGGTTTCCCCAGAAGCAGATGCCAGCACCATGCTTCCTGTACAGCCTGTAGAACTGTGAGTCCATTAAACCTCTTTTCTTATAAATTACCCAGTCTCAGGTATTTCTTTATAGCAACACAAGAACAGACTAACACAGTAATGTTTATCTGATGAACTCTTGTGTCCAGAAGGAAGCATTACCTGGGCCTGACTATAAAGGTGACTCCTGAGCCCCAAAAGAATAGTTCACAGCCACATTATAAACTTTCAATTGACTGCACCTACCTCAGGAGATCTGATCTCTACGTAGGGCAATACTTTTCTATAACAGAAGTCTCTTGAGAGTATGGACACTAGAAAAATATCTCTACTCTCTGAACTCTTATTGCATTTTCTCTTCTCTACAACAAATTGTGTGAGACTCTCATAAACTGCATTTTTTTCAAAAGCACTTTTGGAAGTACCATTACTGCTAAAGGCCACTGTACATGAAGTCAGAGCTCCTTGAAGGCATGAATAGTGTCTTATTTGACTTTGACCCTCCCTCCATACCGTAAAGCTGCTGACCACTCAACACACACACAAAGCCTGTCTTGGTGCTTTAATCACAACTGACACCCAATAAACATTTGATTAATAAAGACCTACTATATTATTCTTCTCTCGAATTTTTTCAGCATCACACAAGTAGACATTTTATTTTATATGGCTTAATTTAAACACTATTTTACACACTATTTCTGTACTATTTAATTCAAATGTCTTTATCACTCAACAAAACAGTAAAACCAGGAGATGAAGGATGATGCCTGTTGTTTTGTATCTTAGGCAGTGTCTTAAATGTAACACGTACTAAATAAAGACAATGACAACCACAGCATTCCAACAAATACATAGGAATGTGTATAACTCTTCAGAACATGTTTAAAAAAAAACAAAAACAAAAACATGGAACTGACAAAGGTAATGCCACAGTTTGCTTTCAAGGGTATGGATATTTTTCACATTCCCCAACCTGACAGGCAGGTCTTTGCCCCATAGATTTACCAATGATCATATAATTGCCAGATTAATTCAGTGTTATATGACTTGCTACAAATTAATGAGACTCATTAAAAAAAGAAGAAGAAGAAGAAGAAAGAGCCAGGTGTAGTGCTTGTAATCCCAGTGACTCAGTAGGACAAGGCAGGGAGGATTGCTTGAGGGCAGGAGTTTGAGGCAGGCCTGGGCAACATAGCAAGATCCCTTCTCTACAAAAATAAAAACTCTTAGCCAGCTGGGGTGGTGTGCACCTATAGTCCCAGCTACTCAGGAGACTGAGGCAGGAGGAATACTTAAGCCCAGAGGTTTGAGGCTCCAGTGAGCCAAGATCATGCCACTGCATTCCAGCCTGGGCAACAGTGCAAAACCTCAACTCTAAAACAAAAACCAAAACATTATATACAAATTAAAGATAATTAGACTCAACAAATGGGTATAAAACTCCCTATTTAAGGCCATGTGCTAACAGCTGAGGATATAAAGGTAAGAGGCGGTACCTAACCTTAAAGTGTTTACAACGCTATGAGATGTCTTCTCCAGGTAGTTCAAGGGAGACAGCCAAGAAGAGACTTCAAGTCCCTTAAAATGCTCATTCTTTTCTAAGAGTAACGATGCTTGTTCATAGTGATAGATAATATATAAATTATTTTCATGATAAGAATAATGAACTGTCTATAATCAATGAAGATCAAATGGGGGAAAATGACTTCAAATATAAGGAGAAACTTCACTTAAATATAAGATTATTTGATCACTCAAGAAGTTAAAGACTAGAGTATATTCCAAAGACTGTCTGCATCCCTGGAGATCTGTAGGGTGTGAAGTGACAATTATTTTCTTGTTTTGATAGAGCACAAGAACAACTGATGTTCAAAGATCTTTTGCTGGCCTATGAAATTACAGAACAACATATATATTGCAAGAGAAGTGGGGAGATTACATATCTAAAACATTAGTGAGCAATATGGAATTCTTGAGCACTAGTTTCTGTATTTCCAGACTTTCTAGGTGAACTGCAGATAACTGGAAACAACTTAAAAAGCTTTGCATTGCATTACTAATGACTCAAAGTAATAATGTCATGAAAGACAAAGCTCAAGTTGGTACAATTCATTTCACTGCTAATTGCATTGTTAATTGTGATTATCAAAAGAAATGCACTACAATACCGCACTTAACTTAGCATTTAGGTAATTTACTGTTACCTAAATCTGGCCAAGAATACAGCCAGTTAAAATAATCTTCTATCTAATATAGTACATAAGTATTACATATGTAAAGTAGTGAGCATAATCAACTGCCAGTAAATACATTAACTTTCTATTTTTAAAAAAACTTACGTAAAAGCTGGATTATTGGCTATGTCAATTGGAAATCATTCTTTTCCAAATAACAGTAAGCTTAACCAACAGCAGCTTAAATATGTAGGTAGTTATTTTTCTCAATTAAAATGACTGTCAGTAGGTGGTTGCTAGGATGGGTTTAGCTGCTCATTGCTATAACCAAGGACCACTATCTTTTTACCTTACAGCCCTGCTTTTCATGTTTATACTTGTTACCTTGTTGTCAGAGGATCACTGCCATACTTTTCAACTCAAATCAACATTAAATCAGAAAGAAAAGGGTGATGCACCACCACTTGTCACTTTTATAAAAAAAAAAAAAAAGCAAGAGGTCCTCAGCATGCATTTAATTACTTACCTTTAACCAGAAGAACTCTGTCACATACCTACCCCTAATTATTAGGGAGATTTAAAAAGTAAATAGTTGATCCTTATTATTTGCAATCCCGTATTTGTGAATCAGCCTACTCACCAAAATTTACTTGTAACCCCAAAATCAGTACTTGCTGTGTTTTCATGATCATTAACAAACATGTAGAGCAGTGAAAAATCTGAGTAGCTGATACACATATTCCCAGCTAAGGTCTAACAGGGAGACACTCTGCCTTCTTGTTTCAGCTCTCACACAGAGATGCCCACCAGAGGACAGAGCTGTGGGGGGCAGTGCAGTGTAGTTCAAGTAGCTCCAGCTCTAGAACCAGCTGAACGAGTTTGAATCCCAAATCTGGGACCTATTCATGGGGCATCAAAAAGTCAGTTAACACTCTGAACCTCAGTTTCTCTTTTGTTAAATAAAGAGAGACTCTACCAGGATGAGTAGTTTTCAGGATTAAGATTATATAGCCTACATGAAATGTGTGGGTGTATGTGTGTTTGTTCATATTTTCCTTAGGAGCAATAGTTGAGAATTTGCTAATTCAGTCATCATGGTGACTTTACAGAATCTAACTACCAAGAATTACAAAAATTGACTGTATTTAGCTTTTCCAGTCTCCTTTATACAGGTAGACAGGAGAGGTGTTAGGGAATGAGTGCTTCGTTAGTCAACCTACAAGTGTCTGCCTCACTGATGACTCACCAGTGTTTTAAGGTGGGTTTTTCCGCCTTTGTTTTTTGCTTGGCCTAAGCCTCAGTACTTCTCAAAGTTTCCACAAAAGTTCCCCTAAGGTCAGAGAAGACAACCATGTATACCAGAAAGTCTGAGGAGTGTTTCACAAAGCAGCTTGCTATAAATAGGTATTTCTTTGTGAACTTATATTTTGTCATAAAAATTCATCCCACTTTTTTCATATTTTAAAAAGTATAGTAAAATTTTTCGGAAGTTCTGCTTCTACTTCAGGATGTAGAGATCCACAATAACTGTTCTCTCATACCAAACAAAAGTTTAAGCCACCAGAGAAGAAGCATGAAACTTTGGGTCAAGACTTTAGCAGAAGTCATCTAAAGCCCAAGACCCCAAAGATACAAGGCAAAGTTTGATTGCATAGGAGGGTAAGGCACATACACAGAGAAGGTCACACCCCCAAGGCACATGTATGCAGGGCCCACCTAAGATTAAGGTTGAGAACTAAGAAATTTCCATTCTGTCCCCACTGCAAGGCTCACATCCAATAACAAGGAACAGCAGTTTACTGCTAGGGGAAGAGCAAGAGCACAGAGAGAAATTCCCTGTCTGTGGTGCAACCCTACAGGCACTGATGAAAGCTATCCTAAAAGAGCTGGAACACTGAGAAAAACCACCAGTACCAGAGAGCCCATACTAAGCACAAGGTAACATTATTTTCTACTGGAGAAGACTGAAGCCTGGTGTACTAAAAATGAATGTAGCAACACCAAAATCCAAAATAGCTCAACTACTGATTGACTCTACCACTCAGTTAGCAGAAGAAATGTGCCTATTTCCAGGAGTAAACACTCTTTAGCACAATCTATACTGTTCATTTAAAAGCATTATCCAGCATTTCCAAATAAAAAATTATGAAACGCAAAAATACAACCATTACCAAAAGATAAAGTTATCAACAAATCTAGTATCAGAGATAATCCAGATGTTGGAAATATTGTATAAATGCTTTAAATTAACTAGTATTAATATGTTAAAGGTCCTAGTGGAAAAAGGCCCAATATGCAGAGAAGAAGGATTGCAAATGAGAAACAAAACATACAAAAAATATCAAATGAAAGCGCTAAGAATAAAAAACAGAATATCAGAGATAAATTCATTAGATGACCTTATTAACGGTAAGGACATAGCTAAAGGAAGAATCCAAAAACATAAAGACAAGTGAACAAAAGTGATCTAAACCGATAAACAAAGGGGAAAAAAAAGACTGAAAGAAAGGGAACAGAGAACACAAGAGCTGTGAGAAAATACTAAATGATCTAACATAGGTAAAACTGTAATCCCAGAAAGAGAAGAAATAAGATGCATATTGGAGGAAAATATATGTAAAACACATACCTGATAAAAGACGTGTATCTAGACTAAATAAATAAATCTAGACTAAATAATGAAATGTAGGCCAGGCACAGTGGCTCACGCCTGCAATCCTAGCACTTTGGGAAGCCAAGGCAGGAGAATCACTTGAGCCCAGGAATTCAAGACCAGCCAAGGTAACACAGGGAGATGTCATCTCTACAAAAAATTTAAAAATTAGCTGGAGGTGGTGGCACACGCTTGTGGTCCCAGCTACTTAAGAAGCTGAGGTGACAAGATGGCTTGCATCTGGGAGCTTATGGCTGCAGTGAGCGTGATTGCACTGCTGTACTTCAGCCTGGGTGACATAGTGAGACTCTGTCTCAAAAAGCAGGGAGAGGGCCAGGTGCGATGGCTCACACCTGTAATCCTAGCACTTTAGGAGGCCAAGGCGGGAGGATCACGAGGTCAGGAGATTAAGACCATCCTGGCTAACACAGTGAAACCCCGTCTCTACTAAAAAATACAAAAAATTAGGCATAGTGGCAGGTGGCTATAGTCCCAGCTACTCGGGAGGCTGAGGCAGGAGAATGGCGTGAACCCAGGAGGCAGAGCTTGCAGTGAGCAGAGATTGGGCCACTGCACTCCAGCCTGGGCGACAGAGCAAGACTCCATCCAAAAAAAAAAAAAAAAAAAGAGGGGAGAGAAAAGGAGGGAGAAAAAGTAGAGAAAAGAGAAGAGTAATATCACGACTCAGTAAAAGGATAAAACAAAAAGCAAAATCCCCAAAAATAAAAACTGAGTTTAGGATTTGAATAAACACTTCAAAAATGAAGATATCTGAATGGCTAAGAGGGACATGAAAAGATGTCCAACATGATTAGTCATTAGGGAATGCAAATTAAAACAACACTTACACACCATTACATACCCACTAGAATGGCTAAAAGTTAAAAGACTGACAAGAGCAAGTGTTGACGAAGATATGAGTAACTAGAACTCTCATGCATTGCTTGCAGGGAAGTAAAGTTGTACCCCACTTTGGAAAACACTTTGGCAGTTTTTTAAACAGTAAACATACACTACATGACCAAGCAATTCCAATTCCACTCTTATACATATACACCCAATAAAGTAATCAAATAATTTTTTAATAAAAAGCCTTAACTTTGAATTGCCAGGAGCACATTAAGATCTCTGAAAAGACACAATCTTGTAATATAAGAGTGCTCCTGGGTAGGATTCCTCAAATGGGCTAAGGGCTTAATGGACAGAAGTGTAGGTACTATAAAAGCTAGCCAAAGTCATTGGTTTCCTCTCACTTTAACCTAATGCATGGCAAGAACAAAGAGGAAAAGAAGTGATAGCAACCGGAAGAATGCTTTCCAAGTATACCAAAGTCTGATGGTCTCCTGGAATTTCTCTTGGAACTTTACACCTGGCTCCACTGCTCTGAATGGGCTTACTAAATGATAACTAAGCACTTATCTTTCCTGTGAAGTTGCTAGAATTCTAATCCCTATGTGAGAGATTAAGATGAAGTCATATTAAGAAACCTTTTTGAAGTAATTTTTGGTAGTAAGGCCAATTGAAGGCCAATTTTTCTCAACCTTTTTCTGTCTTTGCTTATGTGTTATGTTTTCTGCTTCATAATTAATGTTTTGATCATCTGTATCTTTTGATCAAACTCAACATTTTTTATCTTAGGAATTTCACTCAATGAAAACTTCTAGGACACAAGACACTTGTGATTTTGGCTGTTTTTTTTTTTCTAGCTGGAATAAGGAAAATTTAGAGGATGAAAAACATTGAGAGAAATATTTACTTAACTTTGATGAAACACAGCAATATCTTCACTCAAGTTTTGACTCCGATACTGGCAAAAGAAGTTCACTTCTTTATTTTCATTTATTTTTTTTTTTTAGACAGAGTTTCACTCTAGCTGCCCAGGCTGGAGTGTAATGGCTCTATCTTGGCTCACTGCAACCTCCGCCTCTCAGGTTCAAGTGATTCTCCTGCCTCAACCTCCCGAGTAGCTGGGATTATGGGAATGTGCTACCATGTCTGGCTAATTTTGTATTTTTAGTAGAGACGGGGTTTCTCTATGTTGGTCAGGCTGGTCTCGAACTTCCGACCTCAGGTGATCCACCCACCTCGGCCTCCCAAAGTGCTGGGATTACAGGTGTGAGCCACCGCGCCTGGCAAAGTTCACTTCTTACATCATATGAAAGTGTACCTCTCACCAAAGAATCAATTATGCTCTTTTCCTTTTAGTTTGTTTGGAAAACTGTTTACCTGTGTTCTTCAGGGCACTACTGCTTTCTAGGAATCTCACAATTTATGCTAGGATACAGTAACGGGCTAAATATCTGTTATCCAAAATGCTTGGGATCGGAAGTGTTTAGGATTTCAAATTTTCTCGAATTTTGGAATATTTGCATTACACTGGTTCAGCATCCCTAATCCAAAAATGCAAAACCCAAAATGGTCCAATGAGCATTTCCTTGAGTGTCACATTGGCACTCATGTCTCCCCAAAATGTATAAAAGTAAGCTGTATCCCGACCACCTTGGGCACATGTTCTCAGGACCTCCTGAGGCTATGTCACAGGTACATCCTTAACCCTGGCAAAATACACTTTCTAAAATGACTGAGACCTGTCTCAGATATTTGGGGATCACACAGTAAATCAGTAAGACCTAAGGTAAAATCCTGGCTGCATCTGTTTTTAAATTACTTATAAACCCTGAGCCTAAATCTCTAATTCCATGAAGCTCAGGTAAATCTGGGCCAGAGAAAGTTGGATTCTGGTTGTTTCCAGGTAAAGTGAACACTGTGAGCAATGGGAGGTAAGTATACACGCACCTGGCATAGTATGGGAAAGAAAAGCGTTTTGCTACCAGAGCTAAGAGCAAAAGAGAAAGCTTAGCTTAAACTGTTAAGGGCCTTCAATGCCATTCAATGTCATAAAGAGACTTAAATTTTTTCAAAAAATCAGCCAGGAAGTTGTCAAAAACTGATCAGATTCTGCTGATCTGGTGCTGAAGAAACACAACTGGACTCGTTAATTCCAGTGGCACTGTTGAACTTTGAATGAATGACTGATTTTAATGTAGTGATGAGTATGAAGTCTGATTGTAATGGATCAGAGAATTTTAAAAAGGGTGATAAAGGAGCATACAATTAGAGTCCACATATTCTTCTTTATAACTACAAAAACATTCATAAAATTTTAGAGCTGAAATCTAGCCCAACTCATTCATTTACAGATGAGGGAAAATATTAAGCCAAAATTAGTGGTATAATTTGGTCTCACATAAACTCCATGGCTGATTTTTTACTACTCAAATGCATTCTTATTTTCAGATTCAACAACTCTGCTGCTGTTACACATAATGCAAACCAATTCTTCTGGGGAAATAAAAATCATTCTAAATTATTAAAATTATTCTAAATTATGAGGAATATTAAATTTATACTTAAAATTGTAAAAAAGGCTCCCAGACAAAATAATCATTTGCTATGATCCAACTGTATGCAGCACTAGATGCTACATTATTCCAAATCAGAATTATTCATTAAAAAAGCATTTATTATGTTTATTGTAAGAACTATCCAAAATATTGCTTGAACATAAAAAAAATGTTTTTATATGTTCAGGTCCTATTGTAAACTTGCTTCCAATTTAATATCAGAGTTTAGAGTCTTTTAAAAGCATTTTGTATAAAAATATCCAATCAAATTATCTGGAGAAATTTGTGGAAAAGCTCTTCAGATTATTCTGCAATAGCTCCTTGATGAGCAACGTTAATAAATCTAAGAGCTTTTTTCTGTAAAATGTAGTTTTATTATTTTCTAGGCAGAACAGTAATATGTTTAAAATCTCTAAGATTCATCCTATGATTTCAAGGACAATAGTCAAAGTATATGAATATAAAATCAGTTAAGAGGATAAACTGCTTGCAATGTCATTTTTTTAACTTACAAAGTTAAGGTTCAAACCAGTATATAAAGAAGATGCTAAATAAAATTATTTACTTTTGAGTCTGGCAGCTCAAAATAGATCCACAGGGCACAGCCCCAGGGGGTGGGAATGGTCACACATTAAGTCAGACTCCTGGAGCTTGCCTTCATACTTCCCACTTCTCTCTTTCAACACAGAAAGTTAATAGTTGCCTCACTTTGATTTAGGACAGGCTATGATTTAAAAAAGAACTCTTCGTAGACTTCTAGGTAAGAAAATTTACCTCTTAAAAGTGCAAACTATCAATATTTGTAATAGTTACAGAGATGTTATTATCGTTCCTAGGGCTGACAGAACAAGAAAAAATCATTTCTGAATAATTCTATAGGCATTGTTCTACACTGGCTGCAAATGAGTCTTGCTGAATTAAAGACAATTAAAAACTTTGAGCAGTACTTTGTGTTTCCTCAATTTTTTCTGGATTAAAACAAACAGTAACATGAAATTTTCCTCAGTCTACAAATAAAGAGCATATCCCCACACTCCTTTCTACAGAAAAACCTCTCTGCCCTCTCCAGCCAAATAAAATGTTTATGTTCATTGACTGTTGAATACATCCGCAAATCCCCTGTAGCTGAAATCAGTTCAGCGAAATTCTGTTTAAGGGAATTAAAGCCCATCTGTGTAGTTTATCATAATCTTTAAAAGGTGTGTTAGTTTATCATCACTGAAATAAAAATGACTACCAAGGGTGTTTAGGTTCATTTTCTTTTTTTCTTTTTCTTTTTATTTAAAATTCTGAATCTGGTAGAGTTCCTTGAATTTGTGTTCAGAATGTGAATATGGCAATTGGCTTTTACTTAACTTGGATCCTACAATTACTTTTACTTCCATAGGTCCTAACGTTTCTCCACAGCTGTCATTTCTAACTATTAACATAAGAATGCTAGCATAATTTCTCTCTGTTTTCTTTTCCAAAATGCAATGGAATGTCATATAACTTAATTCTGTGATATCATAAGCCCAATATTCATGACAATAATTTTAAAATCAAGACACTTCCTTGAGGAATATAGAAAGAACATGGAATCTAGAGCCAAACAAACGTCTTAGTGATATCAAAATGCTATGATACAGGCAAGTCAAGTAAGCTCTCTGAGACAGTAACATTCCCTTATCATATTGGCAGTGGAATCAAAAGGACATACTGGTTCTATAAATAGCAAAATGTTATAAGCATGTTAGCTACTGGTGTATTTTAATTTCTACTAACTGTCCAAATTTCTGAAATGTATTCATTTTTTGTATCTATATTAGTTTTGAGCATGAGCATTAAGATGATGAAAACAAATTTTTATTTGATCTCAGGGCACTAATTTATCAGAAGATACATAAAATCAAAGAAAAAAGCAATCTGTCATATTATTTTCTAAAATGAATACCTTATTTAACATTATAAATTGTGCATAAATTTGTACATTCAGTTTTGTTGTTTCTGTGTTTTACAACATAAACAAGGCAAAAATACTCTTAAGAAATATTTGCTAGAAATAAAGGCAATACCAACACTGAATAAATATAAACAAATATGGTAAGTACACCTACACAGAAATCAGTACATGCTATTTTTAATCAAAACCCAAAACCACCATGGTATTTTCATGCCTTATAACTGAAGAGGACCTTTCAAACCAGTGTCCCCAAATTGAACAGTGAGTCACTTCAAGACTGATAAAAGTAAGATTATGATCTTATGTAATATCAACACCTAGCTGTCATAAAATGCAGACGACTATTTGAAATCATTCCCTTCTGGTAAGGCATTAACAAAAATTCCACTTGCTTTTTTTTTTTTTTTTTTTTTTTTGACAGACTCTTGCTCTGTCACCCAGGCTGGAGTGCAGTGGTGTGATCTCGGCTCACTGCAACCTCTGCCACCCAGGTTCAAGCGATTCTCCTGCCTCAGCCTCCTAAGTAGCTGGGACTAAAGGCATGCAACACCACGCCCAGCTAATTTTTGTATTTTAAGTACAGACAGGGTTTCACCATGGTGGCCTGGCTGGTCTTGAACTCCTGACCTCGTGATCAGGCTGCCTCGGCCTCCCAAAGTGCTGGGATTACATGCGTGAGCCACCACACCTGGCCTCCACTCACTTTTTAAAAAGTGATGGCATTCCAATGGAATATGGTCATTTATTTATCTTTTTTTTTTTTTCTTTTTGAGACAGAGTCTCACTCTGTCGCCAGGCTGGAGTGCAGTGGCGCGATCTCAGCTCACTGCAACTTCCATCTCCTGGGTTCAAGCGATTCTCCTCCCTCAGCCTCCAGAGTAGCTGGGACTATAGGCTCACGCTACCACGCCCAGCTAATTTTTGTACTTTTAGTAGAGATGGGGTTTCACCATGTTGGCCAGAATGGTCTCGATCTCTGGACCTCATGATCCGCCCCCCTCGGCCTCCCAAAGTGCTGGGATTACAGGCATGAGCCACTGTGCCCAGCCCTATTTTATCTTCATAGTCTATAAAATATTATCCTTACATTATCCTCTATTTATCTCTAACAATCCTGACCATCTCAGAGCGTAAACTCTTTGAATCCAGGGAATGCGGCTTGATTTATGATTAAATAGGAACACAGTTGATGATTTATGATTAAATAGAAACCCAATATGCCTGAAAACAGGAAAAAAAAAGTCTGAAAATAAATCCTTAAAGATAGATATATTTTTTTTTTTTTTTTTGAAATGGAGTCTGCTCTGTTGCCCAGGCTGGAGTGCAGTGGCTTGATCTCAGCTCGCTACAACCTCTGCCTCCCAGGTTCAAGTGATTCTCCTGTCTCAGCCTCCCAAGTAGCTGGGACTACAGGTGCGCACCACCGTGCCCAGCTAATTTTTGTATTTTTATTGGAGATGCGGTTTCACCATGTTGGCTAGGCTGGTCTCGAACTCCTGACCTCGTGATCCGCCCATCTCAGCCTCCCAAAGTGCTGGGATTACAAGTGTGAGCCACCACACCCGGCCCAGATATTTTTAAAAATTCGTAGTTGAGGAATTATATTGGCTATCCTTCAACAGATAAAAATCTGAAAAATATCAATGAGACAAAAAGTCCTTTATCAAAAACTTCTCAGCTTCCATATGTGATGAAATAAAGACGCAAACAAAGCGTATAGATTTCCAAGTCCTGGAGAAGGTACATACAAATAATCAAACACTAAACATCCTGATCACACACTTAAGAACTCTACTGGTAAATTCTTGGTGGATTTCTTAAAAAAAACACTGTTTTAATATCTATCACCAAAATAAGAATGTTAATTCTTGTTTCTTCACATGGTTTAAATTTATGGTTACTACTTGAAATATTATAAATCTTACATAAACTTAAACAGAACATTTTCCCCACTATTTGAGGCACAAACTTAGTATCAAAGGTAACGTGGTAACCATTACATTTTTGCAATTACAAACACAAGCTCATTTTATTAATAAAAGCAGTTAACACAGTACTGAGTATATATCAGGCACTGTGCTAAGAGCTTCATAAACATAATCTCATTTAATCTACAAAACTAGTGTTTCACAGAGATTACCTGCTTTATCCATGGTCACACACTACAGGAGCAGGATTTAAATCAAATCAGGTTTACCAAATTCCAGAGCTGATCTCTTTTTCCTAAGAAAGCCAACCACTTTTCATTAAATGATTTTATCACTGACATCTGACACCTGTAGTAGATGCAGAAGTTTGATTATTTCTAATGGTTCTAAACCAATAACTGTAAACCATACTCTGTCAACTGAGACTTGGAATCTTGGTGTTGGGGAGAACTTATCAGCATAGAGCCAGAAAAGGCCACATACATACTTCAAAAGCCTAAGAGATAGATGCTGCAGAGGCATTAACACTTCTTTAAGTCATGCCAATAGCAAAATTGAATTTAACTGTCCTCTTCTGGGGGAAGACATCACTGATGCCCCCACCATGTATAATCAAAACAATTTTACAGTACTGCTCACCTTGCAGTATCAATACCTACTTTATTGTTCTACTCACACCACTGCCCTCTGCCTTTTTACTTTTGTGCCCCTGCTGCCCAAAGAGTTACTGGAAAATAGGGCATCTGTTTGTGGCCACAATGGTTTGCTTGGTGATCTCACCCAGTAATTCTTTCATTCAGGGATAAATAGAATCCACCTGACTCTAACCTTTCAATCTAGCTGACTTCAGCAACTAGGCTTCAACATCAAAATGTGAAGAAACCTGAAAAAGACTTTTCAATGTGCAGCTTTTCTTGGCTAAGTACTGAACAGTGGTTACAGTGGTTAAGAGTCAACAGTTTTAATATGGGTTGTCCCATTAACGTTCTACGTAATCATAGGCAAGATTACCCATTGATGTGATCCTCAGGTTTGTCAACAGGCATAAAGACACATTCTAGTGATAAAGCAGAAGTGTATCGCCTTTCTCTAAATAAACAAGAAATTAATCTTTTACATCTCTGGAGTTTGGTTCCTCTCTTATGACACAAGGGTATTTAAGTATATTATTATAAAAGATTCTGACCTCTTTCTTTCAAATCTATAATCTATGCTCCAAATCTAAGATACAGACCATGCGGCAGGTTAAGAATCATTGAGCATAAAGTGAGGTGAATAAGAGAAAAATTGGGCAACAGGAACATCAACAGCCATAATGGTGCACAATGCTAACTGCTTAAAACAGCTTTCACTTTTATGAGCTATAAAACAGCACCTTTACAAAATACTCTAAAAGAGGAACACACAGTCTGTAGTAACATGCTCTATTTTAGAGCAACATCTATAAAAAAGTTTTATATCTCATCTTCCTGATGTTCTGAAACTAAATTATATTCTCCAAAAGTTTTGCACATATATATACAGAAATTCTGTTAGACTAAATTAGGTATAGAATAAAAATAAAAATAGCCATTCTTTGAAATACCTATCTGAAGTATCTTCATTAATTTCTCCTTACACATGATTCATCTAAAATGTCACTTCTAAACCAGGCATGGTAAATCACGCCTGGAGTCCCAGCTACTCGGGAGGTCAGGGTGAGAGGATCACTTGAGCCCAGGAGTTAAAATCCAGCCTGGGCAACATAGTGAGCCCTCGTCACTAAAAAAAAAAAAAAAAAAAAAAAAAAAATTAAAAAAATTAAATGTCACTTCCTTGTCCACATTTTTGCTGAATACTAGATTGTTATTTACTTACATAGAACTTCCTACTATATCACTTAACATCTAATAAAAATTATTTGTTTGTATATATATACCGTATATGTTTGCAGATGTGTGTGTGTGCACATATAATCTTTTATTACTAGATTGAACTGCTGTATTAGTCCGTTCTCACACTGCTACAAAAAACTGCCCGAGACTGAGTAATTTACAAAGGAAAGAGGTTTAACTGATTCACAGTTCAGCATGGCTGGGGAGGCCGCAGGAAACTTACAGTCACGGTGAAAGGCGATGGGGAAGCAAGGCACTTTCTTCACAAGACAGAAGGAAGAAGTGCTGAGCAAAGGGGGATCACGAGAACAGCATGGGGGAAACTGCCCCCATGATTCAATTACCTCCACCTGGTCTCTCCCTTCACACGTGGGGATTATGAGGATTACAATTCAAGATGAGACATGGGTGTGGACACAAAGCCTAGCCATATCAGCTCCTAAATGGAAGAGGTTTGGGTCTTTCACCGATCTTCTTATCTCTAGCAGCAGTACTCATGAGTTTATTAAATAAACTAACAGATTTTGAAGGCATCCTACATGAATACGATACCATGGTGCTAGGCCCTGAGGCAGACTCAAGTGATATTAAAAAAAAATGGTAATTTTTAGGCTACGTATTATGGAACCCAAAGTTTTATGAAATCCTATTTAGAATTTGGATAAATTATACTAAAAATAAGCTTATACTGAGAAACAGATAACTCCATGATTCAAAGCTTCTCATTATAGATACCAGTTATTCTCATGTGACATCAAGGTTATTGCTAGACTGGCTGATTTCCTTTGAATTACTTTAGAATCTTTGGGAAGAAGGTGAAGGGAATTTCTTCCTAGCAGATATCTCCAATATAACTGAATTTATTTTGTATCTCCCAAGCAATGACTCAATCTGATTGCTCACCTTGGTCCATGATTGGTATTTAAAACTATATCTTGGGGGGAGGAGCCAAGATGGCCGAATAGGAACAGCTCTGGTCTACAGCTCCCAGCGTGAGCGACGCAGAAGACGGGTGATTTCTGCATTTCCATCTGAGGTACTGGGTTCATCTCACTAGGGAGTGCCAGACAGTGGGCGCAGGTCAGTGGGTGCGCGCACCGTGCGCGAGCCGAAGCAGGGCGAGGCATTGCCTCACCTGGGAAGCGCGAGGGGTCAAGAACTTCCCTTTCCGAGTCAAAGAAAGGGGTGACGGACGCACCTGGAAAATCGGGTCACTCCCACCCGAATATTGCGCTTTTCAGACCGGCTTAAAAAGCGGCGAACCATGAGATTATATCTCACACCTGGCTCGGAGGGTCCTACGCCCACGGAGTCTCCCTGATTGCTAGCACAGCAGTCTGAGATCAAACTGCAAGGCGGCAGCGAGGCTGGGGGAGGGGCGCCTGCCATTGCCCAGGCTTGCTTAGGTAAACAAAGCAGCCAGGAAGCTCGAACTGGGTGGAGCCCACCACAGCTCAAGGAGACCTGCCTGCCTCTGTAGGCTCCACCTCTGGGGGCAGGGCACAGACAAACAAAAAGACAGCAGTAACCTCTGCAGACTTAAATGTCCCTGTCTGACAGCTTTGAAGAGAGCAGTGGTTCTCCCAGCACCCAGCTGGAGATCTGAGAACAGGCAGACTGCCTCCTCAAGTGGGTCCCTGACCCCTGACCCCCGAGCAGCCTAACTAGGAGGCACCCCCAGCAGGGGCAGACTGACACAAGGCCAGGTACTCCAACAGACCTGCAGCTGAGCGTCCTGTCTGTTAGAAGGAAAACTAACAAACAGAAGGGACATCCACACCAAAAACCCATCTGTACATCAGCATCATCAAAGACCAAAAGTACATAAAACCACAAAGATGGGGAAAAAACAGAGCAGAAAAACTGGAAACTCTAAAAAACAGAGTGCCTCTCCTCCTCCAAAGGAACGCAGTTCCTCACCAGCAACGGAACAAAGCTGGACGGAGAATGACTTTGACTAGCTGAGAGAAGAAGGCTTCAGACGATCAAATTACTCTGAGCTACGGGCGGACATTCAAACCAAAGGCAAAGAAGTTGAAAACTTTGAAAAAAATTTAGAAGAATGTATAACTAGAATAACCAATACAGAGAAGTGCTTAAAGGAGCTGATGGAGCTGAAAACCAAGGCTCAAGAACTTCGTGAAGAATGCAGAAGCCTCAGGAGCCAATGCGATCAACTGGAAGAAAGGGTATCAGTGATGGAAGATGAAATGAATGAAATGAAGTGAGAAGGGAAGTTTAGAGAAAAAAGAATAAAAAGAAACGAGTAAAGCCTCCAAGAAATATGGGACTATGTGAAAAGACCAAATCTACGTCTGATTGGTGTACTTGAAAGTGACGGGGAGAATGGAACCAAGTTGGAAAACACTCTGCAGGATATTATCCAGGAGAACTTCCCCAATCTAGCAAGGCAGGCCAACATTCAGATTCAGGAAATACACAGAACACCACAAAGATACTCCTCGAGAAGAGCAACTCCAAGACACATAATTGTCAGATTCACCAAAGTTGAAATGAAGGAAAAAATGTTAAGGGCAGCCACAGAGAAAGGTCGGGTTAGCCTCAAAGGGAAGCCCATCAGACTAACAGCTGATCTCTCAGCAGAAACTCTACAAGCCAGAAGAGAGTGGGGGCCAATATTCAACATTCTTAAAGAAAAGAATTTTCAACCCAGAATTTCATATCCAGCCAAAGTAAGCTTCATAAGTGAAGGAGAAATAAAATCCTTTACAGACAAGCAAATGCTGAGAGATTTTGTCACCACCAGGCCTGCCCTAAAAGAGCTCCTGAAGGAAGCGCTAAACATGGAAAGGAACAACCGGTACCAGCTGCTGCAAAATCATGCCAAAATGTAAAGACCATGGGGACTAGGAAGAAACTGCATCAACTAACGAGCAAAATAACCAGCTAACATCATAATGACAGGATCAAATTCACACATAACAATATTAACTTTAAATTTAAATGGATTAAATGCTCCAATTAGAAGACACAGACTGGCAAATTGGATAAAGAGTCAAGACCCATCAGTGTGCTGTATTTAGGAAACCCATCTCATGTGCAGAGACACACATAGGCTCAAATAAAAGGATAGAGGAAGATCTACCAAGCAAATGGAAAACAAAAAAAGGCAGGGGTTGCAATCCTAGTCTCTGATAAAACAGACTTTAAACCAACAAAGATCAAAAGAGACAAGGCCATTACATAATGGTAAAGGGATCAATTCAACAAGAAGAGCTAACTATCCTAAATATATATGCATCCAATACAGGACCACCCAGATTCCTAAAGCAACTCCTGAGTGACCTACAAAGAGACTTAGACTCCCACACATTAATAATGGGAGACTTTAACACCCCACTGTCAACATTAGACAGATCAACGAGACAGACAGTCAACAAGGATACCCAGGAATTGAACTCAGCTCTGCACCAAGCGGACCTAATAGACATCTACAGAACTCTCCACCCCAAATCAACAGAATATACATTTTTTTCAGCACCACACCACACCTGTTCCAAAATTGACCACATAGTTGGAAGTAAAGCTCTCCTCAGCAAATGTAAAAGAACAGAAATTATAACAAACTGTCTCTCAGACCACAGTGCAATCAAACTAGAACTCAGGATTAAGAATCTCACTCAAAAGCGCTCAAGTACATGGAAACTGAACAACCTGCTCCTGAATGACTACTGGGTACATAACGAAATGAAGGCAGAAATAAAGATGCTCTTTGAAACCAACGAGAACAAAGACACAACATACCAGAATCTCTGGGACACATTCAAAGCAGTGTGTAGAGGGAAATTTATAGCACTAAATGCCCACAAGAGAAAGCAGGAAAGATCCAAAATTGACACCCTAACATCACAATTAAAAGAGAGAAGAATCAAATAGACGCAATAAAAAATGATAAAGGGGATATCACCACCGATCCCACAGAAATACAAACTACCATCAGAGAATACTACAAACACCTCTACGCAAATAAACTAGAAAATCTAGAAGAAATGGATAAATTCCTCGACACGTACACTCTCCCAAGACTAAACCAGGAAGAAGTTGAATCTCTGAACAGACCAATAACAGGAGCTGAAATTGTGTAATAATCAATAGCTTACCAACCAAAAAGAGTCCAGGACCAGATGGATTCACAGCCGAATTCTATCAGAGGTACAAGGAGGAACTGGTACCATTCCTTCTGAAACTATTCCAATCAATAGAAAAAGAGGGAATCCTCCCTAACTCATTTTATGAGGCCAGCATCATCCTGATACCAAAGCCGGGCAGAGACACAACCAAATAGGAGAATTTTAGACCAATATCCTTGATGACCATTGATGCAAAAATCCTCAATAAAATACTGGCAAACCAAATCCAGCAGCACATCAAAAAACTTATCCACCATGATCAAGTGGGCTTCATCCCTGGGATGCAAGGCTGGTTCAATATACGCAAATCAATAAATGTAATCCAGCATATCAACGGAACCAAAGACAAAAACCACATGATTATCTCAATAGATGCAGAAAAGGCCTTTGACAAAATTCAACAACGCTTCATGCTAAAAACTCTCAATAAATTAGGGACGTATTTCAAAATAGTAAGAGCTATCTATGACAAACCCACAGCCAATATCATTCTGAATGGGCAAAAACTGGAAGCATTCCCTTTGAAAACTGGCACAAGACAGGGATGCCCTCTCTCACCACTCCTATTCAACATAGTGATGGAAGTTCTGTCCAGGGCAATTAGGCAGGAGGAAATAAAGGGTATTCAATTAGGAAAAGAGGAAGTCAAATTGTCCCTGTTTGCAGATGACATGATTGTATATCTAGAAAACCCCACTGTCTCAGCCCAGAATCTCCTTAAGCTGATAAGCAACTTCAGCAAAGTCTCAGGATACAAAATTAATGTACAAAAATCACAAGCATTCTTATACACCAATAACAGACAAACAGAGAGCCAAATCATGAGTGAACTCCCATTCGCAATTGCTTCAAAGAGAATAAAATACCTAGGAATCCAACTTACAAGGGATGTGAAGGACCTCTTCAAGGAGAACTACAAACCACTGCTCAAGGAAATAAAAGAGGATACAAACAAATGGAAGAACATTCCATGCTCATGGGTAGGAAGAATCAATATCGTGAAAATGGCCATACTGCCCAAGGTAATTTATAGATTCAATGCCATCCCCATCAAGCTACCAATGACTCTCTTCACAGAATTGGAAAAAACTACTTTAAAGTTCATATGGAACCAAAAAAGAGCCCACATCGCCAAGTCAATCCTAAGCCAAAAGAACAAAGCTGGAGGCATCACGCTACCTGACTTCAAACTATACTACAAGGCTACAGTAACCAAAACAGCATGGTACTGGTACCAAAACAGAGATATAGATCAATGGAACAGAACAGAGCCCTCAGAAATAACACCGCATATCTACAACTATCTGATCTTTGACAAACCTGAGAAAAACAAGCAATGGGGAAAGGATTCCCTATTTAATAAACGGTGCTGGGAAAATTGGCTAGCCATATGTAGAAAGCTGAAACTGGATCCCTTCCTTACACCTTATACAAAAATTAATTCAAGATGGATTAAAGACTTAAATGTTAGACCTAAAACCATAAAAACCCTGGAAGAAAACCTAGGCAATACCATTCAGGACATAGGCATGGGCAAGGACTTCATGTCTAAAACACCAAAAGCAATGGCAACCAAAGCCAAAATTGACAAATGGGATCTAATTAAACTAAAGAGCTTCTGCACAGCAAAAGAAACTACCATCAGAGTGAACAGGCAACCTACAAAATGGGAGAAAATTTTCACAACCTACTCATCTGACAAAGGGCTAATATCCAGAATCTACAATGAACTCAAACAAATTTACAAGAAAAAAAACAACCCCATCAAAAAGTGGGTGAAGGATATGAACAGACACTTCTCAAAAGAAGACATTTATGCAGCCAAGAAACACATGAAAAAATGCTCACCATCGCTGGCCATCAGAGAAATGCAAATCAAAACCACAATGAGATACCATCTCACACCAGTTAGAATGGCAATCATTAAAAAGTCAGGAAACAACACGTGCTGGAGAGGATGTGGAGAAATAGGAACACTTTTACACTGTTGGTGGGACTGTAAACTAGTTCAACCATTGTGGAAGTCAGTGTGGCGATTCCTCAGGGATCTAGAACTAGGAATACCATTTGACCCAGCCATCCCATTACTGGGTATATACCCAAAGGACTATAAATCATGCTGCTATAAAGACACATGCACACATATGTTTATTGCGGCATTATTCACAATAGCATAGATTTGGAACCAACCCAAATGTCCAACAATGATAGACTGGATTAAGAAAATGTGGCACATATACACCATGGAATACTATGCAGCCATAAAAAATGATGAGTTCATGTCCTTTGTAGGGACATGGATGAAATTGGAAATCATCATTCTCAGTAAACCATCGCAAGGACAAAAAACCAAACACCGCATATTCTCCCTCATAAGTGGGAATTGAACAATGAGAACACATGGACACAGGAAGGGGAACATCACACTCTGGGGACTGTTGTGGGGTGGGGGGAGGGGAGAGGGATAGCACTGGGAGATATACCTAATGCTAGATGACGAGTTAGTGGGTGCAGCGCACCAGCATGGTACATGTATACATATGTAACTAACCTGCACATTGTGCACATGTACCCTAAAACTTAAAGTATAATAATAATAAATAAATAAATAAATAAATAAATAAATAATAAAACTATACCTTGTCTAATAAAACTGCTTTTGAAAGTGCTAAGTAAATTTATGCTTTGAAAATAAATACAAGTTGTATTCTCAAAGGCACAGTGGTTGAGAGTAAGCCCATCCTTTTTCTCTGAACATAATCATAATACGTTTCCTTTTTTGTTGTACTTTACCTTAATAAATTTTTATGCACCAAAGGTGCTGGAGCTGATGTCTTCAAAAGCTATTCATAATAGAAGGAGCTGATGCCTGTAACAAAATTCCAACGTTTAGTGTTGAGTATTCTGAAGAAGCCACAACTGCTGTTACTGTCCCATAGAGCTTATAGAGAAATAGCTCATTTGTTTGCCTTTTTTATTTTTATTTTTTAGTTATTTATTTTAAGAGACAGAGTCTCACTGTAACCCCCAGGCTGGAGTGTAGTGGCGCAATCTCGACTCACTGCAACCTCCGCCTCCCAGGTTCAAGTGATTCTCATGCCTCAAGCCCTCCAGGTAGCTGGGATTACAGGCACCTGCCCCCACGCCTGGCTAATTTTTGCATTTTTAGTAGAGATGGGGTTTCACCACGCTGGCCAGGCTGATCACAATCTTCTGACCTCAGGTGATCTGCCCGCCTCAGCCTCCCAAAAGGCTGGGATTACAGGCGTGAGCCACCGCACCTGGCCTGCCTTTCTTTTTTAAATACACTTTTTTAGAGCAGTTTTAGGTTCACTGCAAAAGGTTTCAATTTTTAAGTTGTAATTCCTATATGGTATTTGACCTACGAAAGCTTAATATGAAGTCTCTTATCTACACAGGACAGGAATGGAAGGCTGTATTTCTTTTTTGGATGACTTATCGTTACTTTGAACATAAAAAGCCATACACACAGAAACACAATGAGATACAACTACATACCTACCAGGATGTCTATTTAAACAAAAAGGAAAATAACAAGTGTTGGCCTGTTGTGGAGGAACTTGAATCCTATTACATTGCTGGTGGAAATACAAAATGGTCCAGTCACTGTCAAAACAGCTGGGTGGATCCTCAAAAGGTTAAACATGTAATTACCATAAAATCCATCAATTCCACTCCTAGTTATATATGCAAAGAACTGCAGACATACATGGGTATTTGTATATCAATGTTCACTGCAGCATTATTCACAATAAATAGCCAAAAGGTGGCAACAACCTAAGTGTCAAAAGGTGAATGGATAAACGAAATGTGGTATATGCATACAATATTATTCAGCCACAAAAAGAATGAAGTAGTGATAATGCTACAACATAAATGAACCTTGAGGACACTGTACTAAGTAAAATAAGCCAGACACAAAAAGACAAATATTGTATGACTTCACTTATATAAAGTATCTAGAATAGGCAAACTGATAGAGACAAAGTAAGTTAGTGGTTACCAAAAGCTGGGGGGAGAGAGGAATGGAAAGTAACTGCGGAATGTATACAGAGTTTCTGTTAGCTATTGTGTTAGTCCGTCTTCACGATGCATAAGTAATGTACATAAGTAACTGAGACTAGATAATTTATAATGAAAATATAAACAAATTTACTCATAGCAGAAGGTAAAGTGGGAGCAGGTACATCACAAGGCAAGAGAGGGAGCAAAAGAGAGAAGAAAAAGGTCCCACAAGCTTTTAAACAACCAGCTCTTGCGTGAACTCAGAGTAAGAACTCGCTTATCACCAAGTGGATGGTACCAAGCCATTCAGGAGGGATCCCATCCCATGATCAACAACTCCCACTAGGCCCCGCCTCCAACACTGGGGATCACATTTCAGCGAGATTTGGAGGGGACACACATCCAAATCATATCAAGTATAATGAGAGTGCTTTGGAAAATATTCAGTAACAAAAAGCTTATTAAGCCACAAAGACACAGAAGAACCTTAAACGTACCTTGCTAAGAGTCAAAGAAGCCAATCTGAAAAGGATACCTACTGTATGATTCTGATACAACATTCTGAAAAAAGCAAAACGATGGAGATGGCAAAAAGATCATTGGTTATTAGGGGTTGGTGGGGGATGAGGAAGTGAAAGATGAAGGGATGAACAGGTAGACACAAAGAATTTTTAGCACAGTGAAACTATTTTGTATGATACTGTAATGGTGCATACATGTCATACATTTGTCAGAACATACAGGATGTATTTGGCTCATCAGTTTTAACAAACACATCACACTAATGCAAGACGTTAATAAGTGGGGGAAGGAGAGAGTACATGGAAACACTCTATACTTCCTTTACATTTTTCTGTAAACTTAAAACTTCTTAAAAAAAAGTCCATAAATCTTTTTAAGTTTTAGAAACAGTGTGATGATTGCACAACATCGTGAATGTAATTAACGCCTCTGAAGTGTATGCTTAAAAATGGCTAAATTATAAATTTTATGTTATATATATTTTACCACATTAAAAGACAAAGCACTCCTTTTTTTATAGGAAAATAATCCTGTTATTCTAACAGGGGAAATGGTAATAATGAATCACAGCCCGATGTCCAAATTGATGAAAATCTTCATGGAAAAAATTCTCACCAAATATTACTCCACTATAATAATGAGATTTAATTTTATTTTTGAGTGCTTCTATGTGAACAAAAACAATATTTTGAAGGCTCTCTGGTTGCATCAACGTGGAAAGCCCCAGAGCTCCCAGGTCATTCCTCTTACAACTAAAAAACCCAAAACACAACACAACAAGAAAAGCACAGGACATCGCTGAAAGGTAGAAAAAAAGAAGGCTGGCTGCCTAGGGACGTCACTATTTGATAAATAACATGGCAATGAGTCCCCTGCATCTCCTTATTGCCTCCCATATATCCCAAACAGGGTGATAGAGAAGACTCCGATGTAGAACCACCAACAGGCAGAGGAAAAAAAAAAAAAAAAAAAAAAAAAAAACTCCAAGGAAAGCCTGTTCCTAACTAGCAAAGCAATGATCATAAAAAGGGTGGGCAAACAACAAAAAGCATTTTTGGCAGTATCAGCCAATCATCAATGGAAAAACAGCTTTACCACCCACTTTCAGCAGGCCAAATGGTACATTAAATTTCCACTCCAAAAATCTCTAACCTATTCCGTCCTTGCAGGTAGCCTAACTTACCCAACAGTAGTCAATCAGGAAGTTTGGCAGGCTAATTTTCCATCATCTACCAGATAGGCTAAGGGTACTTTCACTGGGGCAGAAGCAGGAGGAACTGATTTTACATTCCCCTCTGTGGATCGCATTCCTCCAACTGATTAGTGTCTACAGGGTGCAGCAGCAAGCTAAGCCTCCATCCTGACCCAGCAGCAAGGAGACTTTATTAAGAAGGAAATCCAAAGCACAGCTAATCGCCACTATGTCTGTTGTTAGTGGGACGCAGGAAAGAGTTGAGCCTGAACTACCAGACAGGAACAAAGAGACTGTACAAGTGGGGGCTAATTGGTATTCTACTTTTCTCCTACCCTTGGTGTTACTGATGCCCAATGGAAGCTGGGTCTCCATACCTACCCAGAAGCAAAGAGACTTGTGAAAACTGATTATGCAAAGGAGATTTTTTTGTCATACCCAACAAAAATAAAGTGGGAGGAGTCTTAGGGAAAAACATTCTAGGAACTATCTCACAAGCCCAGTCCAAAACCGCAACAGCCTGCCATAACTTTAAGCTTACAAGTTTTACCTAGAAACTGTCACTCACCAATCAGAATTCACCAGCCCCTGTAAGACACTGCCAACACCAATGAACTTGCAAAACAAATTACATAAGCTTCCTCTGTTCCCCCAGTAAAGCCCCAGACTTTTCCTTTGTTCTTCAGACACACCTAGGGGCTACCCCAGTTTTTGTGTTCTGAACTGCAATTCCTGTATATTATTTCCAAATAAAACCTTTGCTTGGAGACTTGTCTCTATATATTTATTTCATGCTGACAGACTGAAGAGGCAGTGTCAAGCAGGGCTACTCAGCACTCCTGTTCTCCACTCCACCCATCAGGATCAGCAAAGCCCAGAGGGAAGCAGAGTCCCAACCCACTTTGTACCAATGAAGCCAAAAAGGTGAAGGAATGCAGAGCTGGTGGGCACTCCACTTTCCCCTCCTACTCCTGTAGCAGTGGGTTCAGCAGGGGACCAATGTTAAACTCAAACCAGAGGCAAACAGGAAGGGAGGTAGACCACTTTCGCAAGAAGGCATCAGTGGGCTGAGGAGGTGAACATCCACATCCTATCTGTAAAGGCAATGTAAGTCAGTGTCCCACTTTGCTGTAGTGGTACTGGGGGAAAGGGCAGGCAGTGGGAAGGTGAGAATATACTCACCTAGCCCTCATGTTACACTTCAACAACAACAAAAAACATTCAAAGCCTCATAATATCCAAAAATCACTGTCATCCCAAGAACCAGGAAATCATAATATGAATGAAAAAAACAACCAACAGATGTCAAAACTAAGATGAATCAAATGTTTAAATTATCTGACAGGATTTTAAAGTAACCATCAAAGACGTATTTCAAAAAACCTTCAAAAATCTCTCTCAAAAAATGGAAAATCTCAGCAAAGAAACACAATTAAAAAAATAACCAAATAGAAATTATAGAACTGAAAATATAATAGCCCAAATGAACTCGCTGGATGCACTCAATGTTAGAGTGGAGATGACAGACAAAATCTCCAGGCTCAGATAGTTTCACAGGAAAATTCTACCACACTTCTACCAGATTTAAAGTAGAATTAACATCTAATAAGGTTCAGTACACACTCCTCCAAAATATTTTAAGCTGGAAAAATTTGAGAAAATCTCAGAAGCAGGTACACCACTCTTACCTTCCTCCAGCTCTTCTCCCCTGACCCAGGTCATAAAATCTAAAAAGGATTTTCTGACATTCCCATGAAGCAAGTCATAAGATCCTCATTTGAGAGGTGTCCTTCCTATACTCAGAGGAAAGGAACATCCTGATTTCTGATGATTTAGGGTCACAGAGAAGAACCTGAATAACACCTTGCTATGTTCCCTCCGGTTTATTACCATTAGGTCATACTTTTTAATCCAGTCATACACACACTATCCACTTCTTCATCAAACCTAGCACTAAAAGTACACAGGTTTAGGCCAAGCGCAGAGTATGCACCCCTGTAGCCCCAACTACTTGGGAGGCTGCGGCCAGTAGATACCTTGAGCCCTGGAGTCCAGCCTGGGCAACATGGTGATACTTTTTCGCCTTTAAAAAAAAAAAAAAAAAAAAAAAAAAAAGATGGCCAGATGCAGTGGCTCATGCCTGTAATCCCAACACTCTGGGAGGCGGAGGCAGGTGGATCACCAGAGGTCAGGAGCTCGGGACCAGCCTGGCCAACGTGGCGAAACACCGTCTCTACTAAAAATAGAAAAATTAGCTGGACCAGGTGGCGGGTGCTTGTAATTTCAGCTACTCAGGAGGCTAAGGCAGGAGAATCGCTTGAACCCAGGAGGTGGAAGTTGCAATGAGCCAAGATTGTGCCATTGCACTCCAACCTGGGCGACAAGGGCAAAACTCCGTTTCAAAAAAAAAAAAGACAACCCACACACAGATTTACCTCTTTCTTCAGGTTCCTTTCCCTTACGAGGGCTGTGTGCCATGTAAAACTCCTATTATATAAATGTATCTTTTCTCTTGTTAATCTGTCTTTTCTTATACTGGCCTCAGCCATGAACCTAAGATGTGAGGACCTAAGAGAGAGGAAAAGACACTTTTCTTCCCAAACACATCAATTTTATATAATCTGTTCCAGGAAATAAAGGATGAGGGGAAACACCTGATTTTATAACTATTATTATTACTGTTATACCAAGACAATACAGTACAAAAAGACCAAGGCACAACAAAACCAAAGGGAAGTACAAAACAGAAAATAACAGACCAATATTTCTCATGAACTTAGATGCAAAATCATCAACAAAATGTTAGCAAATCAAGTCTGGCAATATAGAAAAATAATTACAGCAGTTCCCCCTCACCATAGTTTCACTTTCTGAGGTTTCAGTTATCTACTGTCAACTGTGGTCAGAAAATATTACATGGAAAATTCAAGAAATAAACAATTCATAAGTTTTAAATTGCATACCATTCTGGGTAGCATGATGAAATCTCACTCTGGCCCACCCAGGACATGAATCACCCCTTTGTTAAGCCTGTACACACTTCTATAGGCTACCTGCCCATTAGTCACTTTGCTGCCTTCTAAATTCTATCAGATCAACTGTCACAGCATCACAGCGGTTGTGTTTAAGTCATCCTTATATTATTTAATAATGACGCCAAAGGGCAACAGCAGTGATGCTGGCAATTCCAATTTGCCAAAGAGATGCCATAAAGTGGTTTCTTAAATTGGAAAGGTAAGACTTCTTGATTTAACAAGGAAAGGAAAGAAATCTTATGCTGAGATTGCTAAGACGTATAGTAAGAACGAATCTTCTATTCATGAAATCGGGAAAAAGGAAAAAGATTTTCTTGCTAGTTTTGCTGTCCCACCTCAAACTGCAAGTTATGGCCACAATGCATGATAAGTGCTTAGTGAAGGTGGAAAAGGCATTAAATTTGTGGAAGACATGAACAGAAATGTGTTCTAATTTATAGCAATCAGGTTTGGTACTATTTGTGGTTTAATGCATCCACTGGGGGTCTTGGAATGTATCCTGCACAGATAAGGGGAGACTACTGTGTCTAACAATAATCAGTGGAATTTATTCCAGGCATGCAAGCCTGTTACAACATTTGTAAATCAATCAATGTAATCCACCATGTCTACAAACTAAAGATATTTATATGATCATATAAACTGATGCTGAAAAATCATTCAACATAATTCAACATCATTTCATGATTTAAAAAAAAAAACTCTCAGCAAATGCTGGTTCTCACCTCTACTGTACTCATTGTGTACCTCAGCACTTAACCACCCTTAAATGATGGTACTCATTTTTATAGGTAGTTTGAGTTCACGTCATTGCAGACTTTTTGTTCTTTAAAATAGGTAAAAAAGTATTCATTGTATAATAAACCTTTAAGGTGGCAATATCATTGGCACTTTTCTTTCTGGTTTTTTGTTGTTTTTGTTTTGTTTTGTTTTTTTGCTAGAGATGAGGTCTATGTTGCCCAAGGTGGTCTTGAACTCACGGGCTCAAGTGAACCTCCTGCATTGGCCTCCCAAAGTGCTGGGATTACAGGCATGAGCCACCAGATCCGACCCACTGGCCATTTCTTAGAAAGAACTTAAAAAAAATAAAATAAAATGTGAGAGATCATTTGTCTTATTTGCCAAACAAATAAAATTATATTGGGCAAAAGCAACTTTTATGAGTGAGAAACCCTAGTAAGTAAAATAAAATGTTTCAGATAATTAGTGTATCACTTAGTGTTATTTTTCTCCTTACCATGTTTATAAATCACAAGGTTCAAAGTTTTAAATATAAAACAAAACCTTTAAGATAGTCTCTAAAATGA
The DNA here is from genome assembly GCF_000001405.40 of Homo sapiens. Lineage (NCBI taxonomy): Eukaryota > Metazoa > Chordata > Mammalia > Primates > Hominidae > Homo > Homo sapiens. The sequence continues at coordinate 45,189,357 of NC_000006.12, forward strand.
AAAATTTAATTTTTAATGTGAATATATTTCAGGTTCATTTCAGTTCAACTAATAAAAAATGTTAATGTTCTCATCAATCCAAAATTTCAGAGAAACATGGTTCCCTTATTAAAAAACCAACCCTCAAGGAAGTTCATGAGCCAATCCTATTCATTTGACCAAATCTATAGAGGAAACCATAAGATGGGGTCTGAATAAGGAGAACTGTAATCGTTATTTATTTGAAAAGGTAAAGTAGGATTTCTGTGTCAATCCCCAAGGCCAAAAGACCACCCAAAGACATTTTCACTGGTCAAAGCTTAGAAAAATCAAAGAGGAAGTCCTCACCACCAAAGAAAACAACACTCTTTCCAGTAAAATTTATTTGTGAAACAAACTAAGAGCCTTACCTTTGAGACCCCTTTTTTACAGAGGAATAGCACAATTGATTTTATTTTTATTGGAAAGCCATTAATAACCCCACGTTCCTTGATGTCCCAAGTTATATGTAACACAATTGGCCACTTTTAATAAGCATAGGATTGGAAACAGTTTCTGAAAAGTTACCACAGAAAAATCCCTTTAAAAGCACAGCAAAATTTAAACTTTTTAATGTATCTTCCCTTTGGAACTAGGCCAAGGGAATGTCCCACTGCATGCAGATCTAGGGCATCATTTATTTCATGAATGTTCTGCACAACAATATTCTGGAAGCTTTAATATATGTTCCAGAGGAACAGATTCCATTGTCAAAGACTTCAACTGTTGCGTTAAACTAATGAATTAGGTTTCTTTACTATAAAACTTGTTAAAGCTTTAATATGCATTGCAACTCTCCAAGTGATAATATATAGCATGAAATATTTCCCAAAAAATGGGACTAAGAAATAAAAATGTTATGGTTAAAAAAGAAATCTATACATATCTTGAAAAAGATTCAAATTCCATGAAATACAGTTTGAGAAATAGTATTTTAACTGCAAACTAAAATGGATTAGGAATTCTCATTGGCCCAAAGAAATCAGTGGTTTCAATGCAAAGCTTCCCAAAGCAACACACACCAAGAATAAGATAAACCAAAAACCTAACATTTAATTTTTACAAATGTTTTTCCATATGTAAACTCTGTATACGGGCCAATTCTTTGTGCTGAAACTTATGTGAAAAAAAAATGATGGAAGACTTTGTTGGGTTATTCTCATTTAAACTATTAAATTGAGTTGTGAGGAGACCCATCAGGTAGAATGAAAATAGATTTTGAAAACGTAGATAGTTTATAAGGGAAGATTTTAAAAATAAATGTTTTAAAAGAATAAAAAGACAAGCCATAGACCATCTTTGTAAAACACTTATTTGATCAAGGACTGGTAACCAAAATATACAAAGAACCCTTAAAATTCAAAAGTAAGAAAATAAGAATCTCAAACATGGGCCCGAAGATCTGAACAGACACCTCACCCAAGAACATACACACATAGCAAATAAGCACAGGAAAAGATGCTCAACATATGTCATTATGTTTCAAATAAGACAACAATGAGTTACAACTATGGCTAAAACCCAAAACACTAACAATACCATATGCTGACAAAGGTGTGGAGCAACAGGAACTCTCATTCACTGCTGGTGGGAATGTAAAATGATTTGCCACTTTGGAAAATAATTTGATAGTGTCTTATAAAACTAAACATATTCTTACTATATGATCCAGCAATCAAATACCTTGGTATTTACTCAAAGGTTTGAGTAAAAAACTTATGTCCACATATAAACCTACACACAAATGTTTATAGTGGCTTTATTTATAATTGCCAAAACTAGTAAGCAACCAAGATGTCCTTCAATAGGCAAATGGATAAACTGTGGTATATCCATATAATGAAAAATTATGCAACAATAAAAAGATATGAGCTACCAAGCCATGAAAAGACATGGAAGAACCTTAGATGTGCACTGCCAAGTAATAGAAGTCAATCTGAAAAGGCTACATCATATATGATTCCAACTATATGAAATTCTGAAAAAGGCAGAACTATGTAGACAATAAAAAGATCAGTGTTTGCCAGAAATTCAGAGGGAAGGAGGGAGGAATAGGTGGAGCACGCGGGATTTTTAAGGCAATGGAACTATTCTGTGTAGTAATATAATGGTGGATAAATGTCATTATACATTTGTCCAAACCCACAGAATGTGAAACACCAAGAGTGAATCCTAAACTATGAACTTTAGTTAATAATAACATATCAATATTGGCTCAACAAATATAATTGAAACTGTAGGGAGGGTGGCAGGTAGGAACTCTGTACTTTCAGCTCAATTCTTCTGTAAACATTAACTGCTCTAAAAAATACAGTCTACAAAAATAAGATAAATGTGGGCACTTTAAGAGAGAAAAAGTTAGCTACATTCAAATTTTACAAAAACGTTTATCAAATCACCAATTCCACATTAAGACCAACAACAACGTATTTATGTCATCTCCCTAGCAAAAGCAGAGAAGATATTATTTACTATCCCAGCACTTCCAGTGTCTGTGGCTTAAATAATTCAGGTCATGAGACTAAAAAATATTAATATACCTCATTTCTTAAATTTATATAATCAAACTTTATACCCAATACAAGTCTTCAACATTTTATTTCAGTCTCCTCATATTCACTTACTTTACTGAGTAAACTGATGTCAGAGAAACTGCTATGTCGAAAAGGGCAACATTAGTTCACTGAAAGCTCTGCCACAGAAATAAGTTTTTCGTATCTGTTAGTCCAGTACTCCCATTCTCTAAATCCCTTCAATTTAGATTTCTAGGAGTTGGTATTCCCAGTATACTTCTAATATCTTTTACAGGCAGTTAACTGAATTCTCTTAGTCATCTGATGAAAGGAGAAGTCAAGTTTCCCATGCTGGCATTATGGAACTGGCTGTAATATAGATTTTGCAAGGGGAAAAAATCAGTTTATAGGGAAATACAATGTCTTCTGTTTATATAACATTTTGACTTATTAAAACGAAACTGTTTGAAAAAGCAAAAATCTGATTAAGCACAAGAATTATATTCTTTGAAATGAGAATGGTTAACTTGGGATCAGATGAAAATGAAACTTGATTACTTCAAAAAAATACATTTTAATTTATTTCAGCTTTAATTTTATGTTTTTAAAGAGTATGTTTATAACCCAAATAAGTCAGCCTAACAAGGATGAATAATTAGGTAATTTTTGGTGTTTCTCTTTAAATTGTATTAATAAGCTATTTAAATAAAGTGTTCTTAATCTTAGATCTAATGAAAGAACAACTTTGCACACTTTATAAGCCTTTATCATATAACAAAGCAAAGATTCCTTACTTAATATTTCGAATCAAAGCAAAGTGGTTAACTCTGAGAATAAAAGGCACAGAGAACTTAATAACTCATTGATTATGACTCATCACACCACACTAAAGCAGATCCCTACTGCAGAGAATTTAGCTACAACAAATAAAGAAAATCAGAAATATAAAATTCCATAAGATTTAAGACACAAAAATAATAACTCTGACTTCTAGTATTATAGATATGAGAAATGCAAAATTGTAAGAAAATGTATCCGACTCTTTTGCTCTTTGAACCATTTTCTAAAAAGGTTTTGTTATGACCAGCCCGCCCAAATTTTCTACATTTGATGAAGCTACTTACTGTAGAAACCAGGACAAAAACAGAAACAGCACCCATAGAGTTCCAAAGAATTCTCTTTGACAATGTTTTTCAAACTAAGTAAGATTCGTTAAGGGACCATGACCACCACGCTTTAAGAAATAAATATTAGAGTGTATGTATGTAAAGTAGGAATAAATGTTCTTTGAAACTCTCGATTCAGAATAACACATGTACACCAAAAAAACCCCACTTATATCCATTTATATATAAGTTTGTGTACACTGGTTCCTAATGTAAAATCTACTATTTATAAATAGGCCATGATCAGAAAAGTTTAATGTCCTAAATAAGCTTTAAAATTTAGTTCCAAATTTTAAAAGGGATTGTTTTTCATTAAGAATCTTTGACTTTTTAAAATCAAAGCTATTTTAATATTTCAAGATTATGTCAAGAAAAAGCTTCTGTAATGTCAAATTAAATATTAAGATGCTGTATCAAATTCACTTTTAAATCTCCAGGGCCAAGCAGAGTCAGTGTTCAATAAATACTCCTTCATTGAACAAAGTTGAGTAAAATAATGTATTCCTCAAAAAATTAGCTGGGCATGGTGACGGGCACCTGTAATCCCAGCTACTTGGGAGGCTGAGGCAGGAGAATCGCTTGAACCCGGGAGGCAGGGTCTGCAGTGAGCTGAGATCGTGTCATTGCACTCCAGCCTGAGCAACAAGAGCAAAACTCCATCTCAAATAATAAAAATAAAAATAATGTATTCTTGTTAGCTTTCTTAGAAAAGTTCAATCAGTAGAGTCACACCAGGTTGTAACGTACATTAGGGATTAAATCCCAAAGATTGCAATACAGAATTCTTAGAGTGAGCCCTCATACAGATAATTAACATTAGTTCTGTAAACTAACATACAGCTTTTGAAATTTTAAGTATTTTATCTATTTAAAATGTGTCTTAGTTTAAACACACATTGAACAGAGTATATATCTGTTCCACATTAGAAATTTAAACTGTCCAGTTATACACTTGGGTCTTCAGCTTCCTTTTCCAGTGGGTTCATTCATTAGAAATTAAAGACAACTTTTTGTTGATCATTATTAGCAGGCCTTTACACGGTCTATGTGGTTATTTCACAACTGACATACTTTTACAACCAACAGGATTCTGTCAAACTTTACATTTTATGGTATGCATTTAAAAAATAAAATTTACATTTTTTCCATCATCCAAATAAGAAAATCATCTTATCTTTATTAACTATATTTCAAACACAACACATGTATCCCTGGTTTCACAAGAATCATGCTATATAGAATCTGGTTGAGAAGAAAAAAAAATCAACTCAAAATGATACTTTAAAGTGTTGTTTGTGGTGTGGAGGAAGAAGAAAAACCACCTCTATTATATATCTACAAATATAAATTTTGTTTTACTAAACCTATTGTTTACAACAAAATACAGAAATCATAAGTTTAAAGAATACTATTCAAGTGCTTGTTGTATTGGTGATAACTGTTTTCTACCAAAAAAGAGCAGAGTAAAATTATCATTCAATCTTCTATGACTAAATTGGTTGAAGTAAAAATGATTTATTTTCTAATGCCTTCATAAGCACATGCTGCAAAACATTTTAGTGAAATACACACACATATGTATACAATCAAAAGAAGTTCTCTAAAGTGGCATCAAGGTTAATAAAAATACATTAATTCTAATAAAAAATACACTACGGTTATAATGCAACAAAAAGAATGTCATTGCAATAGAAAAAAAATTAAACTGAACCTGCTGTGATATTTTTCTTACAGTCATTTAAATCAATACAATTTAAACCCAATCTCATCCTAAGTAGTATTCATCTAATCTCAGAATGCTTAGCAATTTTATTCCAAAAGAAGCTGACTACTATACTTTAGACAAATTTATCTGTTTCTAGGATACCAAATCATAAAAGGCAAAACTAAAATGCTTTAACTACTGTGAAAAGACCTATAAATTGCAGTGTAATGTTTTTCAGTTGAAATCTGTGAATCTAATTCTTGAGAGTTTGCAAATTTTCTGTAATATTTCTTGTATAATTAAATTTTTATGTCAATAAAAAACAATGAATTGGCACAAAAAATTGGCTTTTTGTGGCAGGATAATGGAAAAGAAAGAAGGGACGTGAAATGAGGCTAGCTTAATACAAAATAATGGCCAAGTGATGCTATGATATATTATACAATGGTTTCATAATAACTGGAACAGAGAAAAGTCACAGGAAATTGTGTTTGTTATCTTACAGAAAAAGAGAGCAATGATCAGAGCTTTCCAACCCATGCCCTTAGGAACAAAAGCCACCAACTAGGTACAGGTGTGTAGGTTTTAATGCTCTCAGCCTATGGAATGCCTGACTGGTGGGACCAGAGGCATTTAGGAACCCCTGAATTGTCTGCTGTCAAGAACAACCTTGTGCTTCTATATCCAGTGGCCCTATGAATATTATCATTTTTCACTTGTGCCATAATGTCAAAAGAATTGCAAAGCACTGGGAAGATGTAACAAACTTTTAGAACACAGTAGTCATATTAAGAAAGGGAATTTATTTTCAGGAGTTAAAAGTCTGTCATATCAAATTAAGGTTATTATTTTGATTGTGATATGATCGATTTGTTTTTCATTTCTGATTGTTTTTGACTTAGTAGTTTCAATAGATTTAAATGCAATGAAGAATTGCTATCTAGATTTTTATATTTGTTCATATTTCAGTAACATCAGCAGAAAAATACTTGAAGTTAAAACTAGGGTACATATTATTTCTTTTCCTCTTTTAATAGTATCTGCCCCAAACATAAGGTGAAAAACAATTGGATTCATGAGTCTTTAGTTTGAATCTCACTGAGGTCGGTAGTTACAAACTTTCTGATCCCGGGCAAGTTACTTACATCAGTTTTCTTATTTGTAAGATGGGAATAATGATCATTCTTACCCAAGGAAGGAGAAGATTCAACGCCTATGAAGTGTATATGCCAGTAGCTGGCATATAGTAACAAATATTTACAGGTTAGAAAAGTGAGCTGACACTAGCACGCTAAAAATATATTTCACATCTATCAAAATATACTTTTAGTTTAATTTATCCAATCTACCATAGATAATACACAATAGATATCTGACTTTATATCTGTGACAATATTCAATCATTTTAAAAGGGGGTAGGGGGCAGATATATTGCTTTAGAAGTACTCCTACCATTCTAAAAATACTGTCCCGCAGCTGTTTAAAATTTATTTTTTTAGACCATAGCACCACTGTTTGGTTGTTTCCAATTTCTAAAACCACAAATAGTAAAAGTGTACTCAGTCTACTGCAAACATAAATAGCAAATGCACGCTTCAGCACTTTTTAAAGGATATGGAAATTGGCAACAAAAATGCAGTTCATGTTGAAAATTTACGACAGCCCTGCCATATTTCTTCAGAAATACAATCAGGTAAAAATTAGGAAGATCTCTACCAGCTGGGTGGTATTTTTGTGTTTTTATACTTATATTTTCACTAACTGAAAGACTTTCATTATGCAATTTCTGGCACTTGATAAAATAGAGCAATAGTACCTTTGCTAAAACCACAGTTTCTTTGGTTATGTTTAGCATTACACAAACATCTTTCACCTTAGATATCCTTTTGCATTAGAGTGTTTAATTTTAAATTGACTGAAGGGAATAACTTTTTTCAGAATATTATGCTTTCTGGATATCACTAAGCACAAGAATTGTATTTTCATGATTTCTCAAAGATCATGTGTATGTGTTTCAATTATTAGGCATTTGGTTCCATAAAAAGTGTGACAACTACTGATAAAAGATGAGAATACAAAAATGATTCAAGAAAACATGGAGAAGATTGACTTACAGTGTTGCTATATTATTTTTTTAAAACCCTGTCTTTATAAAATACGTAAAAAGCCACAACATGGATTTACCATCTCTTCCTTGGTAAAGATACATCTAAAATAACACATCCTCAGCTTCTGAGGAGAAGAAAAAAAAATCCCTGGTACAAAAGGTTAACATAAAAAATAGTATGCTAAATTCAACAGTGGAGGAAGAAGTTTCGTTTTAAGACATAATTCTTCAATACTCATTTCTCATTTTAATATTAAAATTGCTACTACATATTTAAATTGGTTTTAAGTATCAGAAATAGGAATAAAGATTATTTTTTAATATTTTGATGCATCCAATAAAATTGTGTTCAATTAACACTGAATGAACAAATAATCAAGTAAATGGAGAGAAAATGTCACTTGATCATTTCAGATTTTTTCATGAAATTTTTAAAATAAATGACTCAAAAACTCATGAACAATAGTTCATACTATGATCTAATAACTTAAATGATTTGAAAGAAAAATAAATCTACCAAGGAATTTTTAAGTGGCTCCTGTTTTACATGGTGTTTCTTCTTTACATACATTGTTACTAAGTGCATTTAACCAATAAACATTTTTCAAAGATCAGTTAAATTATGCTATTTGGTTGGATGAATACTTCATATATCCTCTATAATACATGCTTTTTAAAACTAATTAAAAAATAAGAATTCAAATTGAAATATGCAATGTAACAAAATTAAGGTAAACTATGAGAAAGACAAAAGTTTTGTGGTATTTGCAGAAAAAAATTGACAATACTATTTTTTCATTTACATAAAATAAGAAGATAAAGAGTGAAAAACCATTATGCATTGTATTTTTAGGGCCCACATGTATTGGGACCTAAAAATACAATGCATAATGGTTTTACCCCATGTCTTTTAATAAGAATTTGACTTTGTTAGATAATTGCTTTTCTTTGAATTTACAAAGTGTAAAGTGAGTCTAACTGCCATATTAATCACCAAAAAAACCCAAATTACATACAACGTAAGAAACTTAAAGCTGTATTTCTCATCTGCAATTAGCATCTATTCAGACTGTAAACTTACAAAAGCATTCAGATTTCTTCTTACTCTGAATACTGTTTAATAACCCAAACTTGATAATGTTCCATCACTGCATTTCTAGAAATAAAAAAATCTCTCAAAGTTCTCAACTTATCTTTTGGTCTGCTGAACAAGATATTATCTGAAATGTTATATGCTTTGAATACCCATTTTTACTTTAAAATGATACTTAATCATATCTTCTTAAGAGCTGGTCTAATCAATATGAAAGCCAGGCAGGAACAAAAAAATATTTTAAAAATAGCTTTTCAAAATAGGAATACATATTCTAGTGATGCAGTTTTCTGATTTGAAACAGGATCACTTTTACAAATACTGAGTGTCATTTTGTATTCAACAGCAGCAGAAAAAAAAGGTATAAATGTCTACCTCATTTGCTATAATGTAAGTTCTTAGATGGAAATACTGAATTAAACACTGGTGGCTTATGGAACACACAAGCCTTGCAATTTAAAACTAGAAACCTTCCTCCTAATACTTTGTTATATCTTTAGGTTAAAATATTTGTTTTCTTAATTAACCATAAGAAAACAAAGAAAAAGAAAAGAATCAGTCCCAATACATTAATTTGCTGAAATTTTCACTTGTGAAAACAAATCAAGTTTCAGAACTTGGGAATAGCATATAACAATGAATCAATGTCTCATCTGTAACAACGACACAGTTAAAATAACTTCTTGATATAAGTTAATTTTTAAGAAAATTAGTTTGATCCAGGGTTATTTATAACAGGTAACATGAGTGGTTTTTGACTAAGCTGCTATATCTTTCCTTGAGTTACTCTGAGTTAAGTCACACTACCTGAAGTTACATTTGGAACACCAACATCTTAATTATTATCATGAAATAGCTACCTATTATTTTTAAGTAAATGTACTAACTTCTAATCATATCTGTTATTTTAAGCTTTGAATAATATGAAACTAAATCATGTAATTAAGGATATAGAAAAATGCAACAGAATAGCTTTATAACAGACCAATTACAACACTTTATTTCCCATACTGTTACTTAACAAATATCTGTGCTATTTTATAACATTTTAAAATCTTAAGACTAGAAATAATTACATCTTTTACTAGTGCTTATAAGGGCTGTTGTCATCTTTAAAGACACAACATCTTTAAAATTAGAAATGCATACAATTTTATATTTCAAAATGTATTAACTCAAAGACAATAAAATACACCTATTTCTTAAGATCTATTTTAAAATACTGTTGTTGCATTGGATTAAATGTATATATGTGATTAATGAATGCTTCCAATATAAAGATTTAAGTCTATTTTTCCTTGCCAGAAAAAAACAACTCAGCTTAATTTTTAACTATTTTATTATACCCTTCAGAACTTAAAATTATATACAAATAATGTAACCTGAGACCTGCTCTGGTCATCTGAGGAATTACAATTAGAGCATGAATCTCCACAATTCTGCAGCACCTTAAGTAATTTTATAAAAAAAAGTATTTTTTGCATATTTCTTTAACTCCATTAAGATCATTTCCTGGGCTTCTTACAGTGAAAAAAAAAAGTCATTTGTTTTAGAATAAAGAATACAGCAAAAATACTTCGTCATCCAAAAGACTATTTTTCCTACACTATGGTCAGGCAACCAACCCCACTAAATATAGAAGACTGACATTTGTAGGTAATTCAATAGTCAGATGATAATTCTTCAGTAGTTTCACAGTAGCATAATTTTTCACATTACTTGAAACCACTGTTAAACCTATAACACATTTTCTGTTTCTCTGTGGGTATTTTTTTCTGTCTTTAACCCTAAAAGGAATATGTTTCATCTGACAGCAGTACAAAAGCCATTCATAATTCAGAAATGTTTTCCTTTTTTGCAATCAATACATGACTTTGAACTCAGGTTTTTCAAAGATTAGTTAAACATTATGTTTCTTTAAGTCTAGAGCCTTATTTATGTGAGTCTGTGGCTTAACTGACAAGAATTTTTCTGTTCCAAGGAAAGTCAGTCAGTTTGTATCTGAAATACTATAATCTAGCTTCCGTCCATATAAACATCTGCAAAGACTCACTCAGTCAAATGTTATACACCCCATCAACCAAATCAGAGACTGTAAGAATCATTATTCTGTGCGACAGATAAAAATCTTCTGTGCAATAGAGAAAAATGAAAAGCAAAATGATGAAAGAAAAACATTTATAATTTTGAAAATTAATTAGTAACAATACTCAGTGTAAATATTTGTTAACATTTCTTATTCAATTCTACAAATGTTTAATAAAATCCTAAAATGTAAACATAATGAGTGCTGTATTTATATGTTCTCTAATTGTATTATCATACAAAATATTGTTTGTATAACTGCCATATATATTTTGTCTATTTCTAGTAAGTTACCATTAAATGAAAGTTAAATTGTTCAATGTTGAATGAAAGCAAGTATGACTTATTACATTAATAAAAAATTAACCCATGATCAAAATGTCTAAAGTATATCCCATTTTGATGCACATTTTAAAAATATTAACAAACTTAACAAGATCCTAAAGCCTCATATTTTTTAGGTGCAGCTGGTAAAAAAACTAACAGATATCATATGCTAATAGTACTTATGATGTGCAAAGTACTGTTTGTAAGCACTTTACATTTTTGAACCTTCTTAATGCTCAGAACACCTTTCACTTTAGAGACAATAAAAAATGAAGCTCATAGGGGTTAAGCAGCTTACCAGAAGTCACACAGTTATTAAGTGACAGTTTGGTTCCAAAGTCCATTCTCTTTAGGCCTACCCTGAAAAGCATCACTGTAATATAAGATTTTTTTTTAATTTGAAAGAAGAAAACTGTGGTATTCACTGACATAATGCCTAGAACAAATATGTCAAATATTCTTATTTGAGGATGCTACCATAAACTTTATATAAATTACATACTGGTAATAAATGTACCTTATTTGTAATCATTTTCATTCAAAGTAACAAAATCAAAGTTTCTCTCTTGTCAATTTGAATTAAACAGTCATGTGTACAAATATACACATAAGCACCTATGTATTACTTCCTTATGGGAACAATACGAAGATTTCAATATAAACGAATTTACTAAAATCAAGCATAAAAATATTTTCTGATGATTAGTAACTTACATAATAATTAAGTATACATGTTAACTTGCATTTCATTAACCAAAATTTTAATATTTAAGCTTAAGTGAATGATACGGGTAACATAATCATTCATTTTATTTGTAATGTGAACTAAAAGTTACCCTTTCAACTGTCTTATTTTTTAAAGTTCAGTGTAATCCTAGAGTTTAACATATGAATTGGTAAATGCAAATAATCTCATACTGCAACTTGCCAACTTAAAATGCAAGAATTCATTTCTAATTGGTTGGTTTATTGCTCACTCAGAAAATTTTTATTTCTTTTTCAGTGAATACTGTTTCACATTTGGTAAAATACAGGAAGTCACACCACCAATGGAATGCGATTATCTATAATGAGAGTTAGTTATTCCATATTCCCATTTTTAAAAATAAATTAATATATCAACACACTCTGTAAAATTTATATAAACTTAAAAATACTAGTGAGCTGAAAGTGGAAAAAAACATAATCGGAATAATTTCATAACATGCATAATCATTCTTCACAGAATTTTTATTACCCAGTATGGAATGGATTATAGTAAATGTACTTCACACATGCTGTTTCTTATTCAAAAGGAAACACAGAATAGGACAGAGAGAACTTCCAGCCAAATCTTCATTCTAATCCAACAGTCATGGACGCCACTGTAATTGAAAGACATTTCCAAACAGATAGCTGTGGACCCCATTTTCCTTTAAAATAATATGTCTTTCACATCTGTTCCAACTAAAACATGTGTGTTCTTAAAATTTACCAAACTACCTTATGCTTAGTTTTTAAAATATTAACAGTTTTATATTGTTCTGCTTAATTTGCAACTAGTTAAGCCCATAAAATGTACATTTTCAAATTATGTTAACATGTTAAAAAGTAGTAGAATATGCACGACTAATCAACATTTTACATCTGTGATTTCCAAAGTTAGGAAACCTCAATTGTTTTTCACTGACTCAAGCAACTTCTTAAAATGGTACAAATCATATATTTTGCCATTATAATATTAAGGTGACTTCATTTTATTTTCACTTTGAATATCTTCCAAAATAAGAAATCCAGCTCTCAAAATCAGGCATCAAAAGCAATACTATTAACTCTTTTGACATACCCAATAATTGGAAATTAAAAATAAATCATGCAATATTTAGACATTATCTGTCATAAGAATCTTTTAATAATGATGATACCTTCCTTGGAACGTTTACAAAATTATAAAATTGCAGATAATTATGAAACGGTTTAAAAAAAATTTCACATCCAGAATATAAAAATAAAATAGTATAAAAGAAAGAAGAGCAGAAAACAGAAAAAGGAAAACAATGAAGGCCTTACATACTTGTTAAAGTCAAAACTACTGCAACAAAAATTTAGGATTACTTTTTATATAACAGTATCTTCAAAAGCATTTACAAAGTTAATAAAAACTTAATCAGATTGCTTTTACCCAATGATCTTTTGTATAACGTAGTCAAATATCCCATTTAGAAGTTTGCCTAAATAATTGTATCCATAAACTTTTCCTAGTCATTAGCGTCAAAAAATACCTTGTACATTATTACTACTCGTACTATCAAAATCTCTATTTTGAAATATCATTGTCATTCCATTTGGAGCATTAACCTAGAACGGACAAAAAATGTTTATCAATATTATAAATCTGACATTTATAAATAATATACAATTCTATTTAATGAACTAAAGAGCAAATTGATTTAACAGAGGTAGTTAGTACTTACACATTTTACACTGACTTTCAGGTGCAGATATTCATAATGTAGAAATAAATGATAATATAAATTGAAGAAATCCTACAAATGTATGTGTGTGTGTGTATATATATATAAATCACTAGAGATCAATTACAGAGCAGCATCAAATACAAGACAGTAAGATATAGATTATACACAAATACTGATAAAATATAAGGTAAAGATAACATAATCAAGGATGAGAATATTGATGAAAGACTCCATGAAGGAAGTCTTGCACCACAGTTTGGAGGAAGATCTCGAAATAAAATAAAATACAGGTTTTATAAAGCAGTCATTTAAGTGGATAGAGAATACAGGGCATGGAGTAAATGGCGAGGAACACAGGCACTGAGGAGACAGAAAACACCATGTAAAGACAACATGCAAAACAACCGAAATAAAGGAGGTGCAGTCCATAAAGTTTATAAACGGCATTAACATTTACCCAACTGTTCAGGTCAAAATCTAAGCTGTCATCAATGATACTTTCCTCTGCCCTACACTCTGTACCTAAATGATCACCAATTCCTGTTAATTCTACCTCTTAAGTATATCCTGAGTTGTCTTTAGTTCCCCAGCAGCACCACCTGTTATTCAGACTATCTCTCATCTGAACTATTTTTGTAAACTCCAAGGCAGTCTTACTGCATCCCCTTGCCCTCAATTTCACTTCTCCCTCACTTGAAACCTTTTCTGCATATTTCTGCCCAGGATGATCTGTTTGAAATGCAAATCAGGTCACTTTATGCCCTCACTAAAAAACCTTTCAGTGGATTACCAATACTGTCAAAATAATGTCCGGAATCTTTAACACGACATGTGTTGCTGTGGTCCTAATCTATCTTACCAGTTTTACTTTGTACCTCTCCAGCCTCATGCAGAGCCTTCTGCCCCAGCCATGAAGGACTTCTCTCAGTTTTTCATACAACCTATTTGTGCACTTTCTCTCTCATCTCCAGGCAAGATCAATTGTAACTTTTCCAAGAAAGCCCCCCTTGACCATCCCTCTTATGAAACATGACAGACTACACTAAGTCTACTTAAACTCTGAACTACTAATACTTCTCTGTCACAGCTTTTAAATGGCAGCTTTCTATAATAAATTATTAGTTCCGTTAAGAAGGGCCACCCAAACACAGTGGCTCACGCCTATAATCCCAGCACTTTGGGAGGCCGAAGCTGGAGGATCACTTGAGGTTAGGAGTTCAAGACCAGCTGGCCAACATTGTGAAACCCCATCTCTACTAAAAATACAAAAATTCGCCGGGTGTGGTGGTGCATGCCTATAGTCCCAGCTACTCGGGAGGCTGAGGCAGGAGAATAGCTTGAACCCAGGAGGTGGAGGTTGCAGTGAGCCGAGATTGAGCCACTGCATTCCAGTCTGGGTGACAGAGCAAGATTCCGTCTCAAAAAAGAAGAAGAAGAAGAAGAAGAAGAAGAAGAACCACCTGTATCTCTTTTGTATTCTATACATCTTCAGAGCCAGGTAAGAGTCTAAAATAATAAACATTTGATAACTGCTAAGGTGAGAAGAAACAACAAAAGATACAGCCATGCAGAAGATACACAGGTTATCACAGACAAGCAGTTCACCAAATACTGGATCTACGAGGAACACTTATAAAGAATCTACTTTGGTGATTTCTGACTATACTCATCAGAGCCTTTGGGTTCAAGGAGGACAAGAGTCAGGAAGATGCTCGTTCCTTCCACATATATTCTCCACCTCTGCATCAAACAGATCTGCTTCAATCTTATGTGTTTTTAACATATCGAGTCATCACATAACATTTCATTTGGGGGGAAAAGTTTGAAAACCTCTATGCTGAAAAATTTCCAAATCTTGATGCAGTCCTTCCATTCAAATACAATCCTTTCCTGGAATCACTCCCAGGCTACTGACTGACAGAAACCACCCCTAATAACTCAGGCTGAAACCCAAAATCACCTTAATTTTTGATTCCTTGACTCCTCCATATCTAATCAATCACCAGATCCTATTATTATTCCTTTCTTACATTAACCCATTTTTCTCATTCTCACTATTGTCAGTTTAAAACAGATTCAGACCCTTCTTATTCCTGAAATTACTATACCAAGTAATTTTACTTCCTAACTTGCTTGCTTAACTCCAATCTCCCCTTCATTAAATATGCCCATGTTGGGCTCAACTTTCTCATGCAGTACTTTCATTTTAACTATAGAAATAATATCTCGTAGATTCCAGTTTTATACTGTACTATAAAGCAAAACCAAATTCCCATCTCTGACTTTTGAAATCCTCTTTCTATAACCTGCCCAAACTAGCTACTCAACCTATTAGATTTCCTTCTCCTTCTATCAGATTGGTTTTTTAGTTTTCTCAAAAGTACATTGGAATCATTTAAGCAGGATATTTTACACTTCTATCTACAGATGCAAAGTAGTATGCCCTAAGTTACTGAAGACCATCAGACATAACATAGAAGGACTCCATGTTGCCAGTTTTCCGAGTTTGCACTATTGGAATGATCTTTATTTATTCCCACATTTTCTATAGTTTCCACCTCCATTAGGTCATGGCATACCATTCCACAATTACATAATATAAAATTCCTGAAATTCTGATAAACTTTATATAATGTATAGCTTACAAAATGCAATTCATAGATAAGAAAAGGAAGCTCAAAAAAGCAATGGTTGCGGGTGGTGGCTCATGCTGTAATCTCAGCACTTTGGGAGGCCGAGGATGGCGGATCACTTGAGGTCAGGAGTTTGAGACCAGCCTAGCCAACATGGTGAAACCCCATCTCTACTAAAAATACAAAAATGACCTGGGCATGGTGGCAAGTGCCTGTAATCCTAGCTACCCGGGAGGCTGAGGCAGGAGAATTGCTTGAACCTGGGAGGCAGAGGCTGCAGTGAGCCAAGATTGCGCCACTCTACTCCAGCCTGGGTGACACAGCAAGACTCTGTCTCAAAAAAAACAAAACAAAAAAAAAAACCAGTAAGCAATGTGTTCAAAGTTACACCACTAAGTTAATGGCAGTGCTGAAAACAGACTACCAGTTGAGATCAGCTCACTGCCTTTTTCTTATGATCAGCTACAATTATTTTCACAGAAGGCCTTAAAATTCAACAATTATGAGAAATAATTCTAGAGTCACAGTGCTGGAGTTTGAAAATAGGTCACAACACTTACTTGAAAATAAAATTTGACATTCCATTATATTAATTTTTAGCTATGTATCTATGCAGTATGTAAGACTCATTCATTTAACCAGCATTTAGCAAGCACCTACCATGTGTGAGAGATACAATACTGAACAAAACTGACTAAAATACATTTATGAAGAACATGTGTTAGTAAGGAAGAATAATATATGAATAAATGAATATGTAAATTAGATATTTACAGTGTCACACAGAGATAAGGCTATGAAGAAAAATTAGGTAGAAATGGCAAGTAGAGAAGGGAAAGACTGCTATTTCAAATATGGCGATCAATGAGGTCTTCAATGATGAGGAGACCTTTAAGCAGGAACATGAGGAAGAGAGTAAGAAGATATTTGAGGAAAGAATATTCTAGCAGAAGGTGAGGGCAAGAGCAGAAGAAACTGAGATCAGAAAAGTAGTGAAAAGTGAGGACACACAGCCCATCATAAAATATGTGACTTTTACTCTGAATAAAATGAGAAGCCATTAAAGAATTTCAAATTATAAAAGTAAAAAAAAAATCTAATTTAAATATTTAAAATTTCACTCAATATCACAGGAAGAATAAAACAAGGGGCAGGGGGTAGAAATGAAAAACAGGAGCAAAAGTAGTTGCAGAAAGACAGACCTATTACAAGAATAAAATCCAAGTAAAAGATAGTAATGACTAAGAGCAATGTGTAGCAGTGGAAAGAAATGTGGGCTGTGAGAGAGTTAAAGATAACTCCAAAGATTTTGACCTGCTGGAAGTAAAGAATTGCCAAATAGATTGCTGAGATGAGGGGGAGATGGCAGCAGGAGCATGTTTGAGGGAATATAAGGACCTGGTTTTGGCTACACTAAATTTGAGAAATCTACCAGACATTCAAGTGGAGAGAGAGGTATAGTACTGATTTCAATATGTGAACAAGGAGTTCAGAGGAAAGCTCTATGTGGAGTAGTCAGAAACAGTTGGGTATATGGTATTTAATATTGAAAACCACAGGACTGGATGAGATCAACTATAGGTTAAGTTTAGATAGAGAAGATAAGAAACAAAGGCTGAAACCTAGCACAATCCATTGTTCAGAGATCCAGAAGAAGAAAAGCAAACAACATCTAGGAGATGAGTAGAAACGACTTAGTGAAGTTAAACCTAAATAAATAAAAATAAACCAGAAGACTGAGGTGTTCTGGAAGTCAAGTGAATGAAGTCTTTTAAAGAGGAGGGTGAACAACTGTGTCAAATGCTATTGATAGGTCAAGGAAGATAAGGACTGAAAACTAGCCACTGGATTTAGCAATATAAAGGTCAGTGGTGAACCTGAGAAGAGCAGCTTTGGTGGAGTGATAAAAGGAAAAAGTCTGACTGAAGTAAATTTTAGAAAGAATGGGAGGATAAAAACTGGAGATAGGGAGAAAGCAATTCCTTTGAGAAATTATGCTAAAAAGGAAGCAAGGTAATGGGATGGTAAATAGAGACTAATGTATGATCTAGATGTTGTGTTTGTTGTTTAAGATGAGTAAAATTCATGCAAGTCTGTATGTCATTTGTGGCAAGTCTACTTGGTGCCATTTTTCAACAGCATGGGCTCATTTCATATCTCTGTGTCATGTTTTGATAATTCTCACAACATTTTAAACTCTTCACTAGTTTCGCACCTGTTATAGTGATCTGTGATCACTGATTTTTGATGCTACCACTGTAATTGTTTGGGGGCACCAAGAACCAGGCCCATATAAAATAGCAAATTTAATTGATACATATTGTGTATATTCTGACTACTCTACCACCTGGCTATTCTCCCATCTCACACCCTCTCCTGGAGCCTACCTATTCCTCAAGATGCAACAAAATTGGAATTTGGCCAGTCAATAACCCTACAATGGCCTCTAACTGTTCCAGTGAAAGTTAAAGTTTTACTTCTTCTACTTTAAATAAAAAGCTAGAAAGAATTAAGCTTAGTTAAGAAGATATGCCGAAAGTCAACACAGTCCAAAAGCTAAGCCTCTTGTGCCAAACAGTTAACCAAGTTGTGCATGAAAAGGGAAAGTTATTGGAGGAAATCAGAAGTGCTACTCCAGTGAATACAAGAATAAGAAAGCAAAACAACTTCATTGCTGATATGGAGAAAGTTTTAGTGGTCTGGGTAGATGATAATACCAGTTAGAACATTCCCATAAGCCAAAGCCTAATCTAGACCAAGGCATTAATTCTTCTCAATTCTATGAAGGCTGAGAAAGGTAAGGATTCAGAAGAAAAGTTAGAAACTGGCAGATGTTGGTTCATGAGGCTTAAGGAAATAAGCCATCTCCATAACATAAAAGTGCAAGGTGAAGGAGCAAACAATGATGTAGAAGCTGTAGCAACTTAACAAGAAGATCTAACTAAGATCACTGATGAAGATGGCTATACAAAAAAAGAGATTCTTGACTGGGCGTGATGCCCATGCCTGTAATCCCAGAACTTTGGGAGGCCAAGGCGGGCAGATCATAAGGTCAGGAGATTGAGACCATCCTGGCCAACATGGTGAAACCCTGTCCCTACTAAAGATACAAAAATTAGCCAGGTATGGTGGTGTGCACCTGTAGTCCCAGCTGTTCAGGACGCTGAGACAGGAGAATCGCTTGAACACAGGAGGTGGAGGTTGCAGTGAGTGAAGATCATACCACTGTACTCCAGCCTGGGCAACACAGCAAGACTCTGTCTCAAAAAAAAAAAAAACAAACAAAAAAATTCTCAGTGGAAACAAAACAACCTTCTACTGGAAGAAGATGCCATCTAAAACTCCCATAGCTGGAGAGGAGAAGTCAATTCAAAGCTTCAAAAGACAGGCTGACCCTCTTGTTAGGGGCTCATGAGGCTGATGACTTACCCTCTTGTTAGGGGCTCATGAGGCTGATGACTTTAAGTTGAAGCCAGTGTTCATTTACCATTCAGAAAAATGTCAGGCCCTTAAGAATTATACTAAATGTACTCTTCCTTTGCTCAGTAAATGAAATAACAAAGCCTGGATGACAGCATATCTACTTACAGCATGGTTCACTGAATAATTTAAGTCTACTGTTGAGACCTACTACTCAGAAAAAAGATTCCTTTCAAAATATTATTGCTCATTGACAATGTACCTGGTCACCCAAGAGCTCTGGTGGAGATATACGAGGAGATGAATGTTGTTTTCATGCCTGCTAGCACAACATCCATTCTGCAGCCCATGGATCAAGGAGTCAGCTCAACTTTCGAAATCTATTTCATGAGGCTACAGTTGCCACAGATAGTGATTCCTCTGACAGATGTGGGCAAAGTAAGTTGAAACCCTCTGGAAAGGAGTCACCATTCTAGATGCCACTAAGAACATTTGTGATTCATGGGAGAAGGTCAAAATATCAGCATCAATAGGAGTTTGGAAGAAGCTGATTTCAGCGCTCATGGATAACTTTTAGGGATTCAAAAATTCAGAGCAGGAAGTAACTGCTGATGTGGTAGAAACTGTAAGAGAATTAGAATTAGAAGTAGAGCCTGTTGTGTGACTAAAGTGCTGCAATCTCATGATCAAACTTGAAGCAATGAGGAGTTGCTTCTTATGGATGAGCAAAGAAAGTGGTTTCCTAAGATGAAATCTGTTCCTGGTGAAGATGTTGTGAACATTGTTGAAATGACTACAAATAATTTAGAATATTCCATAAACATAGTTGCTAAAGCAGATACAAGGTTTGAGAGAACTGAATCCAATTTTGAGAGAAGTTCTGCTGTGGGTAAAATGCTATTAAAGAGCATCATGTGCTATAGAGAAATCTTTTGTGAAAGCAAAAGCCAACTGGTGCAGCAAAGTTCATTGTTGTCTTATTTGAAGAAATTGCCTCAGCCACTCAAACTCAGCAGCTGTCAACATCAAGGCAAGATCCTCTGCCAGCAAAAAGACTATGACACATTGAAGGTTCAGACGATACCAGCAAAAAGACCATGACACACTGAAGGCTCAGATGATATCAGCAAAAAGACTATGACACATTGAAGGCTCATATGATCAAGACAGCATTTTATAAAAATAAAGTATTTTTGTAATTAAGGTATGTATACTGCTTTTTTTTAAAGACATAAGGCTACTGGAAAGGAAAATAAATCTCGGGACCCCAAAATCACTAAGCCAAAGGGAAAAGACAAGTTGGAGACTGTTAGGCAAATCTGCCATCCATTTTATTCCTAAATAAGACAGCTACAAAGATAAAAAGCTACATACTCACCTCACAATTTGCCCAGAAGGAAATTGCTTTTAGACAAAGGACAGACAGAACTCAAAGTCATACTTCTGTTCACCTAGGACAAATGCATATCTGATTGCTTTCTCTGCCCTATTGTTTCACTAAGCCTGACAAAGGCATAAGTGACTATTCCTCTACCCTCCTCTCACATATAAATTGTGTCTTCAGTAAAAGGCTAAGAGGCTCAAAAGAATGTAACCATTTTTCTCTTATCTACCTATAACCTGGAAGCCCCCTCTCCCACTTCAATAGGTTCTGCCTTTCTGGACAGAACTAATGTATATCTTACACATATTGATTGATATCTCATGTCTCCCTAAAATATGTAAAACCAAGCTGTGCTCTGACCACCTTGAGCACATGTCATCAGAACTTCCTGAGGCTGTCTCATGGGTGCATCCTTAACCTTGGCAAAATAAACTTTCTAAACTGATTGAGATCTGTCTCAGATACTTTTGCATTCACAGACACTTAATAAACTATAGTATAGGGTAAATGTAACTTTTATAAGCACCAGGCAATCAAAAAATTCATGAGACTGACTTCATTGCGGTGGTCTGGAACTAAACCCACAATATCTCAGAAGCATGTCTGTGCTTCCAGTCTTTCTCTTAAAGATCCAAGACCAGGTCCAAGTACAAGAATGGAAAAGAGAAGAAAAGGGAGCAAAAAGTAAAGTAAGCTCCCATCTGAACAAGCCTCTTTCAAGCACCAGTCCCAAAAGTTTTCCACCCAGTGACTTTCACTTTAACTGACCATTCCACAAAGGAGCATGGGAAAAGGTGTTTTTTATTAGACTCATTTTATTACACTTCCATTTTTTTTAAACAAAGAAGAAAAAAATTTTAATGAGTCAAAATTTCCCAACATAACTGTCTTTGAAAATAACAAGTATAAAAGTTACAAGCAAATACTTACATGGTTAAAAAATCTAATTTTTATAAATGTAAGTAAACTTTTATTTCTTAATGTTCTACAGTATCTCGATATCCATCTCTGTAAGGTGAAGTTGTAACAGTAAGGCTCCTACTCTCTCCCCTGCCCTTTCATGGTCCTCATACTTTATGTTTATTTTTATACTGTAAAGTTTATTAAGATTCATATTATCTCCCTTAAATACAAACAAGTCACTTATGTTTTGACCACAGAATGACTCTAAATTCTAAAAATCAATAAAAATGATTATTTTTATTATAATTATGTTCTGTGCTTTCCAAGTAGAGGACAACGAACACATCTC